>NC_000009.12:35919090-36070606 GCF_000001405.40 Homo sapiens
GCAAAACATTATAAAAATCCAAGTACCCATCAATTGGGAAATACATAAAGATTATGATACAGCCACAAAAAATGGAATAATAGGCAGCCATTACAAAAATGTACTGACTTGGAAACTGCCCTCTATACATAGAGAAAAAACAGCAAGTTACAGAATGGTCTCATAAAACAAAAACAAAAACAAACAAACCAAAAAACACTTTTCCTCCTCAAGAAAACAAAAATAAGAACAAAAAAACCTCCTAAATTACACATATGCGTATGTGTTTGTATGAACCTAGGAAAATGTCAGGAAGGATGTGATGGCCTCTGGGGGACAGGCTTGGAGGAAGAAGGAAGCTTATGTTTTACTTCATATCCTTCTGTCCTGTTCCACCTTATTTGAACAAGCATGTGTTGCTTTTTATTACAATGTTAAAAGGAAAAATCCTTAGACTAACTAAGTTCAACAGTTTACTTGACCAATTAAAATGATTCAAAACAAAGAGAAACAAAAAACAATTTGGGAATCAGGCAGCCCCCCAGAACCAAAACAGGTTCAGAGAACTTTCAGAGAACTCAGGCCAACACCATGATCAGGCAACATTTGTAGATAGAGAGAGAACAGAAGTGAGATACAGAGACAACTTAATTGGTTACAGCTTAATTGGTTGATTAGTTCTACCTAAACGTCTTACCTTATTCAACTCAGCTGACCTACTGTAGTTCATTAAGTTCAGCTGTGTGACTCACTGAACCTCAACCATTTGCAAGAATATATTCCTAAAGTAATTAGTTTCATTAAGCGTGATGGCTTCATATTGGTTTGGTCTGCTAGGCTCAGTAAAGGACACTAATTCAAATCAATGGCCTCCTATTTTAACACATAATAACTTTTTTAATGTTAAGATAACACAGGTTAAGAAAGCAAACTTGACTGTCCTGTTCTGTGACAAACAGCTGTTATTTGCAAAAAGGACTCCCTGGGTTGAGGGAGACCAGAGCTCCACTTAGCAAGGCCACTCAGGAAACAGATGGACCAACTTGAGTTCTTTTTCTGTGTGAGCTCATCTGGGGAATGAGACACTGTGGATCTTCTGAGTGGAAAAGTGGAGTCATTCAAGCCCTCCTGGCTTCTACAGAGGTGAGAGCTGAAGTTCTGAAAGGGGAACTGACATATTCCTCTACATTTTATGGCACTTCCAGACTAAAATATAACTTTCTGGCCTCCATTTCAGTGAACTTTGAACTTCCTCAAAACTCACACTCCCCTTTTCGTAATCCATAATTTTTATGTGAGGGATAAAATTTTCTGTTTTACAGCCTGATCCTGGCTACTTACAGAATGGCTGCACTTTAAACCCAAGGTGTTCTTTGCACCCTGTAGCCCCAGCCCATAAAAGAGACAAACACTGGCAGAGAGATGGTCCCAGGAGAGCAGCCGGGAGGAGGCACTGGAGTTCAGGGCTCCAGTCCCAGCTCTGCTCATCTGGCTCCTATGACGAGGGTTGTATCCAGTGTGTGGACGTCCCCTCTCCTCAGGCTGGAAACCCTCTGAGGTCAGTGCAGAGCCTCGGAATAGCGACATTGACATCTGTCTGGCACATAATGGCCTTCAAGGTGTCCTAAGTTTACAAAGCTCTTTCCCAGGCATCTCTCAGTTGTCTCCCATAACAAGCCTTGGGGCCCAGTAAAGCAGGCTGTATTAACCGCAGTTTACGGATGAGGGAACCAAGACTTAGAGACACAAAAGTGACAGGCCCCACTCCAAGTCACTCAACAAATTGGTCACAAAGTTCAGCACAGGACCATATTATCCCCTCTCCTTCAGCCAGAGCCTCATTTTTGCCTCTTTTATATCTTCTGTTTCCCAGGTAGATTTTGCTTGATAAAAAGGGGTCTGCTGCTTTAAAAGGTTTGAAAGCTCCAGAATAATGTTTCCAAATTCCCCGCGAATACTTCTGTTCAGTATTCAGGAATGAGAAATTGAAATTTCTGGGAATTCATGAGCATTCCTGAAATTATACATTAAATTTTTTTTTTTTTGGAGACAGGATCTTACTCTGTCACCCAGGCTGGAGTACAGTGGTACGATCATAGCTCACTGCAGCCTCGAACTCCTGAGCTCAAGTGACCCTCCTTCCTCAGCCTCCCGAGTAGCTGAGACTATAGGTACATGCCTATAGAGTGTGCCCCTAACATCTTCATGTTAGCCATTAGGGTGCTCCTGGCTATTTTGTTTTCTTCTTTTCTAGAGACAGAGTCTTACTATGTGACCAGGCTGGTTTTGAACTCCTGGCCTCAAGCTATCTTCCTGCTTCAGCCTTTCAAAGTGTTGGGATGACAGGTGTGAGTCACTGCGCCTGGCTCATATTTTCTATAACATTATATTCACATACTTTTAAATAATAATGAATGACCAGAATAATAAACAGTTAATAATTGTCAGTGACAAATTGATGCTAAAAGTTCCAGACTTTTTCCTTAAGGTTTATTATTATTATGAACCAATATGTTGTGACAAGATTATTTCAATAACATAAAAATTATCTCCACCTGATATAGGCACTGGATATAGAAAACATTAAAAAGGAGGGAACATTATTGCAAAATAAATGCCAGATAAAAATCACTTAAAAATGGAAAAATAATAGCACAAACATTTAATTTTAAAAGTTATTTTTAAAATGAACTTTTAAAACACAAAGCTTTAATTGCTCTATCTGATAGTTTTGATCTTTGTTTTGTGACAAATATTCTAGATGTAGGAAACTTTTTTGTTTTTTCATTTTTCATTGATGTTGGTTGAGTGTGCCCCTAACATCTTCAGGTTAGCCATTAGGGTACATGTTGTTTTATAGAAGCTCATTTCCTTTTTAAATGATGCTTTATTTTTATTTTTACTTTTTGGTCTGCTTACTCTGGTCTTGATTTTGCCATTGAGATCAATATTGCTCTTGCTAATTCAGATTTTAGAGCAATTTCTGATTTCCTTCTGGAGTGTTCTATAACAGCAATCACGTCTTCTTTTTGCATCTCTTCTGTTAAAGTATTTACAAAGAACTGTAGCCTATAATGAATATTCAACACGTGGAAATGCCAGCAATCATTACTGGGAAGTGTTCAAATAACTAACATTCAGACTCACTAACAAGGTTCATAGAATCACTTGTTGGAATTGCCAGTTTCAAGACTTATTTTGCTTTCAAAATTTGTTATTTTTTTCCGACACTGCTCATAGGACTTGTATAAGTATCCTATGTGTACAAACTTACCAATATTTGTTTTATTTGCAAAAATGACTTACCATTAGAAGCAGACCAGGTCACAAACACACACTTATAACCAGTGTGTGCTGGTAAACTGACTCTCCTGGAGAAAAAAAAAAAAACCCTTATATGTAGGGTTTGCCAAATTCTGAGGGGAGGCATAAATGTTCCCACAATGGTCAATGCCCAGCTACCGAGGGGATGTCACTGAGAGCTGGGAAGAGCAGCATACAACTGGCTCTTCTTGAGCCAGCGCTAGCCCACCACCACCTCTACCCTGGCAACAGCAGTCGGAAGACTGATTAGATGATGGCCTTTTCTCTCCTCTACTCCCCAGTTCCATTCAGAACTTAACTTTCCTATGGGTGCCTCAGTATTTTCTACTCTCGCTTTTGATTTGGTGTCAGTGGATTCCTTTGAACTAGTCACATCTAGTTCAACATGTTGATTGCTAAGCTTTAATTCTCACACAAAAACACTCTTACCAGGTTCCTAGATGTCTTAACTTCTTTTTCTCAGGAATTGGCATTTGGAAAAACAGTATTTCCGAGAAATGCTGGGAAGGAATTCCTGCATAAAAACACAAATCTGGCCGGGCACGGTGGCTCGTGCCTGTATTCCCAGCACTTTGGGAGGCTGAGGCAGGTGGATCATGAGGTCAAGAGATCAAGACCATCCTGGCCAGCATGGTGAAACCCCATCTGTACTAAAAATATAAAAATTAGCTGGGCGTGGTGGTGCGCGCCTGTAGTCCCAGCTACTCGGGAGGCTGAGGCAGGAGAATCACTTGAACCCGGGAGATGGAGGTTGCAGTGAGCCGAGATTGTGCCACTGCACTCCAGCCTGGGCAACAGAGGGAGACTCCATCTCAAACAAAGCAAAACAAAACACAACACAAATCCAGGAAACCCAAGTAAAACCTATTTGCTTGACTGATCGTGATCCTACTGGATACATTCTCCTGGGTCCCAATTTTGGCCACCGCTCATTTTCATTGATCTCATTTTAAGGGGTTTGAGGTATGGAGTCCTTAGGATTTGGTGTTAAGTTTGGTGATTTTTCAGAGAGGCCGCACCAGAGCTGCATCGGTGATCATTTGACTTTATGTCTGACCCTGTGCACAGGGGTCTACTTGTCTCCTAACCTCAGTTTTCCTCTTTTTCCTTATTAGAAAAACAACAATAACATCAACACAGTCCCTCTTGGAACTAGGAATGGCCAGTAGAAGTGGTGTGTGACTTCTGGGAAATGTCCTTAAATAGAGGCGGAATACTCTTCTTTGTTTTTTCTCCTTTATCTGGCCAGAATGTAGATATAATGGCTGGAGCTACAGAAGTCAGATTGGACCAGAGTGGCCTTGGGAGTAGAAGCCCCATTTGGGGGAACAATAAGATAAAAGGGGCCTGGGTTCCTGATACTGTGGGAGCCCATATCAGTCCTATACTGCCTTCTTCCAGGCTTTTATACCAAAGCAAAACAGTCTTATTTAAACCACTATTGATATGTGGTTTTCTATCACTCATAACTGAAACAAATTAAACAGCACACCAGTGCATTGTATTCTGTTACATAGTTTATGGGAGGCCATTGTTTTGGACTAGCCTCCTACACTGGCCCTAGCAGAGCAGATCAAACCAGAGCAGAGTCACCTGTGCTAACTGCCAAGTCATCAAACCGGACTTTGAAATGAGGCAGTTTTCCAAAAACGCAGGAGCTTCCAGTCACCCTGAATCAGCACAATAAAAAGTGCCCTCTGCTTTAACCCTATAAGGAAAGCAACTTTGAAATGACCAATCTGCTTTTTGTTCCCTGTTTCTGCTTTCTTCAGCCCTCTTTTATCCATAAAGCCAAACTTCTCTGCCCACTTCACTGGAATACTCATTCTATTTCGTAGAATGAGGTGTTGCCTGATTCTAGAATCACAAATAAAAGCCAATTTGATCATTACAAATAATTTGTTGTAATTTTGCCTTTGGGAAGTTCCTAGTGAAAGCAAAAGCTACTAGCAAGAATCCTTGAAAGGTTTGTAATGGAGGTGAAAATGAAAGACTGTAGCATTACCCAGTGACTCAGAGAGTGTGGGGGAGGCAGCTGCATCTAGTGATAATGGATGATACATTTGGAATAGAAGAGGCTGTGGTTTCATGCATGCCTGTCTTCCCATCTGCCAAGAAGGCTGATGAATAAGCTTTTATACTCCTCTAAGTTGGTAAAAGAAGTTTTCAGATTTTTAATACTCAAAGGTCTTTTCACAAATGACTATGACCTTTTCTTTTCTTTTCGAGACAGGGTTTCACTCCCGTCGCCCAGGCTGGAATGCAGTGGTGAAATCTCGGCTCACTGCAACCTCTGCCTCCTGGGCTCAAATGATCCTCTCGCCTCAGCCTCCTGAGTAGCTGGGACTACAGGCATGCAGCACTGCGCCCAGCTAAGTTTTGTATTTTTTCTAGAGACGGAATTTTGCCGTGTTGCCTAGGCTGCTCTGGAACTCCTGAGCTCAAGTGATCCACCTGCCTTGGCCTCCTGAAGTGCTGGGATTACAGGTCGGAGCCACTGCGCCTGGCCTCTATGCCTGTGGTCTTTAGTTTGTAGGAACCAGACCACTCAAAGGCTGGAACGTACCTTATTGCTCTGCCAGTGAATGGTTTAGGAACTGGCTGAAGGAGCTGGGGATTCAGTCTAGGAAGAACTTACAGGAGTTGGGATTGGGTTTGAGAGCTGCTTTCACACATCTAAGTAAAAAAGATTTAGCCTTCCTCACAGAGGGCTCTAGGCCAAAACCAGAACCCAAAGGTGGAGGCTGCCAACTTTACCCTAAATTAAAGAGAAACCTCCTACCCATCAGAACTGGATGGAGGTAGCTTTTTGATAGCAACTCTCCACTGCTGGGAATATTTAATCAAAGGATGCAGAAGGAGTCATTAACTGAGCAGCAGTTCCCATATACCAGCCTATGTATTGGTACCTACCTGTCTATAACATTTTCCAGGTCTCAGCCAGGCACGGTGGCTCATGCTTGTAATCCCAGCACTTTGGGAGGCTGAGGTGGAAGGATCTCTTGAGCCCGGGAGTTACCAGCCCGGGCGACACAGGGAGACCCTGTCTCTACAAATAATTTAAAAATTAGCCAGGCATGATGGTGCACACGTGTGTGGTCCCAGCTACTTGGAAGGCTGAGGAGGAGAATCAATTGAGCCCAGGAGGTCGAGGCTGCAGTGAGCTGTGATTGTGCTACTGCACTCCAGCCTGGGTAACAAAGCAAGACCCTGTCTCAAAAAAAAAAAAAAAAAAAAAAAGAGAGAGAGAGAGAAAAAAAGGCAATGTAGTACATTTTAAAAATAAAACTAAATATTTGCAATTTGAAGTACATTCTCTTTATTCCAAGATTATGTTCTTTCTATTTCAGGAGGTGTTATAATGTCTTTTTTTAGTAGTAGGTGGTATTAGCTATTGTTGTTTAACACCCTAATTAGACAACATAAAATCTTGGCAATCCTATATAATTCCATTAAAATTTACACTGGCTATAAGATCTAGAAGTCTGGTAATATGGATGAGATGACACCTGGTTGTCTGAATTGACCTTCCAAGGATTAGTAGTTCATTCGAGTGTCTACTAGATGCCATTTTTGTGTATTTACAGCAACTAGATAATTTCATGGTTCAAATCAGAGAAACCAGTAATGTGATCCACGTGCTTATGGTAACTTAAACTTTATTGACTATTCATTTTTGACACATATAGCTACTTTTTGATAGACATGAATTTTCTATTTGCATTTAAAAACAAAACTAATTTTCAAAGTTCTATTCTCAAAATGGCAATGATGACCTTTCTAAATGCTCTCTTTAAATAATCCTCCAATATTCTCAGAAATTTAGTGTACCTACAGCAAACTATTTCTCTTAGTAAAAGCCTTCTGTGAGCAACTTAACTGTCTGATGTCTTTATCCGTGTGAGCAGGGACTGGGTCCTGTCCTTTTTCTTTTTTTTTTTTGTTTGAGATGGAGTCTCCCTCTGTTGCCAAGCTGGAGTGCAGTGGCATGATTTTGGCTCACTGCAACCTCCACCTCCAGGGTTCAAGTGATTCTCCTGCCTCAGCCTCCCAAAGTAGCTGGGACTACAAGTATGCGCCACCACGCCTGGCTAATTTTTGTATTTTTAGTAGAGACAGGGTTTCACCATGTTGGCCAGGATGGTCTCGATCTCTTGACCTCATGATCCTCCTGCCTCGGCCTCCCAAAGTGCTGAATTACAGGTGTGAGCCACCACGCCTGGCCTGGTCCTGTCCATTTTTACAGAGCAGAGAGCATCTAGCATGCCACCACATTAATGTAATGATAATAATTTCCATTTGTCTAGAGACTTATGCTTTACAAGGCCCTTATAGTTTACTTCCCCTTAATGGTAGTTCAAGTAGCAGAGAATGACCTTTTCATTGTCCTTCTCTGTGATAAGCCAAAGTGAATGTAATGTACATTCTTCATAGTGAAGGCTTTCTACCTCATTCATTTATTCACAAAATATTTATTGAGCATGATTATGTGTTAAGCACTGAACTGTGCTCTGTGCTGCTGGGCACTGTGTGTTAGGTACAAACACGGCAGATGGAGCCCCTTCCCCCATGAAATGAACATTCTAATGGGGCGTTAGTCAATAAACAAATAAATAAATAGATTGTCAGGGGGTAATGAGTGTTATGGGGAAGAATAAAGCAGTGGGAGCTGGGAAGCAATGGGAGGATGTCAATCTTAGGGACATGAGAAGGCACCCTCATGCAGAGACTTGGGCAACGTGAAGGATCGCCACTGTGTGACCAACTGGAGGAAGCACGTTCCAAGTCTTGTGGCAGAAAGGAGCTTGGCTGTTTGAGAATCAGCAGTGATATCAGTGTGGCTGGAGGGAAGGGAAGGTGGGACGAGTGGGTGGGAGATAATTTCCAGAGGTGGACAGGATGCAGATTATATGGGAGTTTGGATTTGATTCTCAAGTGTGATGGGACACTATTGGAGGGTTTTGAGCTGGGGAGAGACATGCCATGAAATGTGAAGTCTGGCCTGCAGGGAAGCAGGTACACCAACTGAATGAGTTCAATTTGGAGATATATATATTTGAGATGGAGTTTTGCTCTTGTTGCCCAGGCTGGAGTGCAATGGCACGATCTCAGCTCACCGCAACCTCCGCCTCCTGGATTCAAGCAATTCTCCTGCCTCAGCCTCCCGAGTAGCTGGGATTACAGGTGTGTGCCACTACGCTCGGCTAATTTTGTATTTTTTTAGTAGAGATGGGGTTTCTTCATGTTGGTCAGGCTGGTCTCGAACTCCCAACCTCAGGTGATCCGCCCACCTCGGCCTCCCAAAGCGCTGGGATTACAGGTGTGAGCCACCGTGCCCGGCCCAATTTGGATATATTTTAAAGGACTACCTGATGCGTTAAATGTAGAAGATGGGGGAATGTAGAATGCTCCACAGAGTTTTGTCCTGAGCAGCCAGGTGAGTGGCGATGCTTTTATTTACTTACATGAGAAGAATTGGGAAGGAATACGTTAGAAGAGGAGACTTGAGAAACCAAGAGTAAATGTTTTGGATTAGTATTAATTAAATTGGAAAAGTCTATGACACATCGAAGTTCAGATGTCAGATAGGCAGGTGGTTATTCAAGTCTGAACTTAAGAAGGATGGGTTAGGGCTGGCAAAGTTGCTATGAGATCCATCCTTGTGGATCTCTGCTGCCTGGTCAGCTTAGATACAGTAGAAGCCATTTAACTTATTCTAATGGCACCTAGAAATTTAGCATGATCTCCTAATATCTTCACTACATTTCATCTGGAATATTTACTACATTCTACATCTACTGAAACTATCAGACATTAGACCAATACATTTCAAAATACAGAAAGTATAATTTGAAAAGTTAAAGAATATGATTTTCTATTGAATTTACTTAGCTTATTTAGAAGTCACTTTGTTTCTGAATGACAGCTGTATCAACATGACAGCACTTTCCTTGAGGATCCACAGGTAAGAGCTTTGTGGTGCAGATACCTGTTGAGCCAGCAGTCTCTTTCTAGAATTCAATCCTAAGGAAATAATCAAAGACTGGATCATTTTCTCAACAAAGATGTTCATCTCGTCATTATTTGTAAAACAAACATTGGAAACAAAGTAACCACCAATAAATAGTAGATTCAATAATTATAGCATAGGACAGGCACAGTGGCTCACGCCTGTAATCCCAGCACTTTGGGAGGCCGAGGGGGGCGGATTGCCTGAGCTCAGGAGTTCGCAACCAGCCTGGGCAACACGGTGAAACCCCATCTCTGCTAAAATACAAAAAAATTAGCCAGGCATGGCAGAGTGCGCCTGTAGTCTCAGCTACTCGGGAGGCTGAGGCAGGAGAATTGCTTTAACCCAGGAAGCAGAGGTTTCAGTGAGCCGAGATTGCACCACTGTACTCCAGCCTGGGCGACAGAGCAAGACTCATCTCAGAAAAAACAAACAAAAAAAATTATGGCATATTGATAAAATGGAAAATTATTCACACATTAAAATGATGTCAACAAGTTTTTTGTAACATAGTAGGTATAGTTATGATATGAAATTAAGTGAATCATAAGATATAAATGTGCACATACAATATGATCTCAATTACATAAAAATATGCATGTATAAAAAATGACCAGACAGAAGGAAATGACTTCAAAATGTTTAGAGCTATTAACCACAGGGGATGGAATTCCTTCTTATATTTTTGTCCAATCTTCCTATCATGGGCATGTATTATTTAGTATTCTGAAAAAAATCCAGCATTTGGATTGAAGGCAATGAAAAAGAAACAGGAAAATAGAACTAGATTTGGCCTGGGATTTGGGACTGTGGTCCTGGTTTGCCTTCCCTCCCACTTTGAGCAGAGGGAATGCCATGCTTTCTCTAAGCCCAAGATTTCTCACCTGCAAAATGTGGACAAGCATCCTGCCCTGTCTCCCGCTTGGGGCTGGTGAAAAGATTCAGTGGTTATGCCAGCCAAAGGGCTGATCACAGACACAGTTCAAAGTTTGGAATGTGAAGTGTCCGCCCCAAAGTTCCAGGATGTCCTGCTTCCTGAAGAGCACAGTTAGTCCAGGAAAGAAACTGAAGGGGAGCAAAGTTCACAGCCCCTTTGGGCATCGTGTCCAGGGTCCCCTAGGAGGTGGGTCTTCCAGCGTCCACGACATGTGAGCCCAGTCCCGACTCCTTCGTGCCTTAGGGTTGGTAGTTAGATGGGAGAGACCTCAGCGATCACCTGATAATAATACTTGTTTTATAGTTATATTTAGTGAAAATTCACAAGTGTCAGGATTGATGCCTTTTACTCATTTTGTTCACCATTTTGTTCATGAATTCCACCCAATATCTACCTGTGTAGTTGGAGTTATTAAATTCATTGTTATATGGCAGAATTTCCCTTTCGTAAGGCCTGACGCACACCAACTCCTGCTTTTGGGATGAGTGAGATTCACACGAAGCTGGGATAACAAAAGTTTGCCTTCTGTAAGACAACTCAAAGCTCAGAGAGAGACAGAGATGCTGGGGGCATAATAACGTAAATCTAAGTGATGTACTACGAGGCAATCACTGGAGCTGTGCTAAAAGTCTGACTGTCTCTGGGTGCTTGAGGCTTAGGTTGTTTTCTTTCATCTCCTCCTTTGTGTTCACCCATTTGAAATCATCTCCATTCAGGAGAAAACAAGATGGAACCCAGTGACTGGCCACCATGGACACATGCAAGGGAGAAGGAGAAGTCCCCAGTAGGAAAAGGTGAGTCGGAGGGAGAGTTTAAAGAGCCCACGAGGCTTAGGGCTGGAGCTTGGTAGTGAAGGAAGAAGACTAAAGAGGATCCCAGGTAGACTGAAAGAGGGGCAACTGCTTGGGCAGCAGCCAGGGTTGAGAACAAAGGTTGCCAAGACCTTTGAGGAACATGAGGGGCAACCTGAATAGGGCACAGGACCCACCCCTAATCCTTCCTCTATGGTGGATGCTATGGACATTGCAACAGGCAACTGGAACCCAAGGAAAGAATCCTTGAATTTCTTGCAAGTGACTACCTGGCTAATCCTCAGACAGACACTCTTCTCCAGTTATGGTTAAAGCTTTGCCCTTCTGAAATTAAGGATATGGTAAGGGGTTTCAGTTAGATGAGGAAATTAAGGCTTAAAGAGGCAAAGCACCAAATGCAATGAGAGGACCTTATTTAGATCTTAATTCAAACAAAGATACCATTAAGAGAGAGAGAGAGAAAAACATTAGGACATTATGAGACAATTATAATTTTCAAATTTAGAAATGACTAGATATTTGATGATAATAAGACACTACTAACATTTTACACATGATAATAGTATTGTGCAATATGTTAAAAGAAGTCATCTTCTAGAGATACCTTTTTAATGGGTATAATAAAATATTTATGGGTATAATGATGCAGTGTCTGCCATTTGCCTCAGATTAATGATGGAGTTGGAGAAGTTGGATAAGGTTATAAATGGAAGAAGGTTGGCTATGGGTTGGTCATTGCTGAGGCTGAGTGATGAATAGAACATGGTTGTTAGTAAAATTATTCTATTTTTGTGTATGTTTAAAACTGTGCATAATGTTGAGGTCTAGCAACTTGTCTGTTTCTGTGGCTAGTAAGTGACGAAGGTGAAAGGGACCTAAGGGCTGTTTGTTCCCTGAACCTGTGCTCTTGATGACTTTGCTCCTCTACATCCTTCCAACCCACCTAGGGCAGGAAATGTCCTCCCTAGCATCCCCCACATGTGCTCTGTCTTCTGTCTAGACACCTTCTGAGTCAGGCCATTTCACTGGAAGATTCCTCTCCACAATGAGCTGTAACTTTGATCCCCTTATTCTGCTTCTTGTCGGAGAAGGCTTCCCTGACCACTGCCACCCCAGGCTAGAGTACGTAGCCTATGCTAAGCTTCTAAAGTGATCTATACACTCCTTCATGGGACTCATCACACTGACAGTTAGTTACCTATTCAGTGTCACCTTCTCCTCTTGGCTACAACCCCATCGAGTCAGGGTCTTACCGGCTACATTTACTGCTGTGTGTAGCTCATTGACCAGATAATTTGCCTTAGATATATGAACGCAGAAGGGGTTGGCTCTCAGTATGGCCAGGTCACTATATACGGGTGAGTTCCCTGGAAGATTGGTATCCTGGGAGGCCCAGGTCAGAGGACCCACAGAATCCTCAGTTCTTTGCTCATGGTGCTTGCTTTGGGTTAGAGATCTATGTGGTGGGTGGGTGCATGGGAAACAGTGCAAGAATTAGATTACTTCCGTGGGGTTTGACATTTTAGAAGTAACCGAGTATTGCCTGTTATTTTTCAAGGCAATAGAAAAGAAAAAACAGTGAACGCAAACATGACATATCTAATCTTTATGAACCCACCTAGGGCACTTTGAGCCTAGATTGTCTTAGAATTGCTAAAGGGTGGCTGCTTTGTCAATTTATGTGCGTTTTTGTTTTCTGTGGGAAAGCTCCTGGGATTTGGCCAAAGGGGCTGGAATTACATGCAGTGGTCCCTAGGATGCCAGATGAGTGTAGAAAACCAGCTGGGATGTGCTGCGGAGGGTGCCCTGCTGAAATCACAGCCCGGGATTTTGTGATCTGGTTCTTAGGGACAGGGGGACATGTGGGCTTACAGAAATTGTCATACTTGAACTGTTCAAGCACTACTGATGGTAGTGCTTGCTGTATTTTGTATGAAAATATTTATTCATTTTTCTATTTTCTTTTTATTATGTAAAATCAAAGATAAAACACATTTAAAAGGAAACAAAGATGGGATGCAGTGGCTCATGCCTATAATCCCAGCACTTTGGGAGGCCAAGGCAGGAGGATTGCTTGAGGCCTGGAGTTCAAAACCAGCCTGGGCAACATAGGAAGACCTTGTCTCTAGCAAAAAAAAAAAAAAAAAAAAAAAAAAAAAAATCAGCTGGGTTTGGTGGTGTACGCCTGTAGTCCTAGCTATGTGGGAGGCTAAGGTGGGAGGATCACTTGAGCCCAGGAGGTGGAGGCTGTAATGATCCATGATCATGCCAGTACTTCCAGCCTGGGTGACAGAGTAAGACTACGTCTTAAAAAAGAAAAAAAATAGAAAGCTTAAAATTGCCATTAATGTGCACATGTACCCTAAAACTTAAAGTATAAAAATAAAAAATAAAAAATAATAAAAAAAAATTGCCATTGGGGAAGACTAAGAGGATAGACTTTTTTTTTTAATTTTTGAAAAGAATATGTACTTTTTCTTCAAGAGTAAAAGTTAGTTTCTAATCCTCTGTATTCAGATTTTATTGCTATTTTTCATTTTCATTTGTGCTATCCGTAATAAAAGTAGTACTTTTTATTTATAAAATGAAATTCATTTCTTTTTTTACCATGGTAAAATATACATAATGCAGCATTTACCATCTTAACCATCTTTCAGTGTATAGTTCAGTGGCATTAAGTCCATTCACGCTGTTGTGCAGCCATCACCACTACCTATCTCCAGGGCTTTTTTCATCTTTCCAAAGTGAAACTCTGTACCAACCAAATACTGTAATACTTCCCCACTTCCCCCTCCCCCTAGCCCCTGGTAACCACCATTCTACTTTCTGTTTCTATGAGTTTGAAAACTCTAGGTACCTCATATAAGTGGAATCATACAGTATTTGCTGTTTTGTGACTGGCTTATTTCGCTTAGCATAAAGTCCTCAAGGTTCGTCCATGTTGTAGCATGTGTCAGAATTTTCTACCTTTCAAGGCTGAATAACATTGCATCGTATGCATATAATAATTTTTACTTTAAGAATTCTTATTATTCTTAAAGTAAAATTCTTAAAATCTCAAAGACACATAAAAACACAGAGAATAGTATAATGGGCTCCCGGGTACCTGTTCTCCAGCTTCAACAAACTCGCTTTATCTGTACTTCCATCCACTCATCCCCTACCTTATCAAGCTAATTCCAGGAGTATTGTTTAATTTGCAAATATTTCAGGATGTATCTAAAAGATAAAGGCTCTTATTAAAAACATAACCACAATACCATTCTTAGGCCCCCAAACATTTCACAATAAGTCTGTAGTGTAATTAACTCTCAAGTCAGTGTCTAAATTCCTGTAGAGTTTTTTCATTTGATTGTATTTTTTTTTTAATTGTAACTAGCCATTTAAGCTTCCAAAGATCCGAGTGGTAGAGAGGGGTAGTTCGAAACCAAGATAAATGGAATTTGTACAAATCGGACTGCAGTTAAATTTCATGTTCTTGGAACAATCTTTTCAACAGTCTTTTCCTTGCCTGTCTGTTCCAGCCTGTCTGCTCACCTGTAAAAGCAACAAGAGTAGGTAGGAAAACAATTACTCCTTTGCAGTTGAGACACTCCAAAGATTAAGCCTGTTAATTATTTGTACTCTCTGTTCTGGATTTGGCTTCTTCTTACCCTCCTCCAGGAAAATTGAGTAATGCCTAGTTTTGAGATGGGTAAGAGGATTGTCTCTTGAATGTACGTGGAACTATTAACAGCAACTTGAAAATGAAAAGAATTATGACTGAAAAAGAAAGAAAAAAAATGAGTAAGAGATACTGGAGGACATTGTAAGATGGATCTAAGGATAAGGATAAAATAACAAGATTAGCCAGGGAATTTCTAGGACAACAGTTGGAAAATCATACCCTGGGTAAAGGATGTGAAAGAAGAGATTTGGGGCAGGAATTTTACCAACAATCTAAGATAAAACTTTCCTATCTTGTAATCATTATTGTTTTATGTTAAATTAGAGTTGCCAGATAAAACACAGGATGCTTAGTAAAATCTGAATTTCAGATAAACAATGAATACTTTTTAAACTATAGCTATGACACAAAGTATATAGACATGCTTATACTAAAAAAAGTATTGTTTGGCCGGGAGCGGTGGCTCACTCTTGTAATCCTAGCACTTTGGGAGGCCGAGGTGGGTGGATTACAAGGTCAGGAATTTGAGATCAGCCTGGCCAATATGGTGAAACCCCGTCTCTACTAAAATTACAAAAATTAGCTGGGCATGGTGGTGGGCGCCTGTAGTCCCAGGTACTCGGGAGGCTGAGGCAGGAGAATCACTTGAACCTGGGAAGCAGAGGTTGCAGTGAGCCAAGATCGTGCCACCGCACTCCAGCCTGGGTGACAGAGCGAGATTCCGCCTCAAAAAAAAAAGTATTGTTTATCTGAAATTGAAATTAAATTTGAGCAACCTGTATTCTTATTTGCTGAATCTGGCAAGTTCATATTAAATGCATGGTAGCCAGGCACGGTGACTTATGCCTGTAATCCCAGCACTTTGGGAGGCCGAGGCAGGCAGATCACCTGAAGTCAGGAGTTCAAGACCAGCCTGACCAACATGGTGAAACCTCATCTCTACAAAAATACAAAAAATTAGCCAGGCGTGATGGCGAGTGCCTGTAATCCCAGCCACCTGGGAGGCTGAGGCAGGAGAATCACTTGAACCTGCGTGGCAGAGGTTGCAGTGAGCTGAGATCGCGCCATTGCACTCCAGCTTGAGAGACAGAGTGAGACTCTATCTGAAAACAAACAAACAAACAAACAAATAAATACATAAATAAATAATAAAAAATTTAAAAAAATATTAAATGCATGGTGATTCAACTTGTAAAACCGAGGACTATTTGGCCTTTAGGCTCTTAGTTTTCTTTCTTGGGATATGATTGAGTTTTCCTTATTCAGTCTACTTTTCTTATATATCTATCTAACATTATAGCATTATATTTTAAAAATTGGCCCAGTTTACATTAGCACCAAGTATAAGTGTATAGTCATGCACTGCACAATGATATTTTGGTCAGTATGTATGTTTTGGTCAATGATGTGTGGTCTGCATATATGACAATGGTCCATAGTTTATGATTCCATATTTTTACTGTACCTTTTCTATGTTTAGATACACAAATACTTACCATTGTGTTACAATTGCCTACAGTGTCCAGTACAGTAACACACTGGACAGGTTTCTAGCTTAGCAGCCATAGGCCATGCCATATAGCTTAGGTATATATTAGGCTAGGTTCGTGCAAGTCCAGTCTGTGATGTTCCCACAATGATGAAATCGTCTAATGACGCATTTCTCAGAATGCATCTCAGTCTAAACAACGCATGACTCTACTTATTTTCTTCTACACTTAGCAATATTAGGTCTGATTAGTCTTTTCATTTTTGCTAACCTGCAGGGCAAAATGTTTGAGAGCTATTAGTTTAGAGCACTTCTTAAATGAGGCAAACTTTTCTCTTGTGATTCCTATAATCAAGGTTTTATTCAAAAATAATTTTAAATTTTATTCTATATTATAGGAATGTGTACAATGAAATGTAATGATGTATAATACATTGGCTGTTTTTGAATTCCAACCATGGATTTCCCAGCTACTGGCAGTGAAACTGATCTTTTCTGTACGTACTCAAGTCAACACTCAAGAATTTCAACTTACCTTTAGCGAAAGCAAATATTTATATTTAAAAAGAAAACATTTGAATTCAGAATTCATTAAGATAAAAAAGTTAGCAAACTACAGATGCCTTGTTAGTTGACAGTCCTAATGGCGACGTCTAGGTCAGATAACTTATATTGACTTAAAACAGCATTGTCTTGACTTTCCACAGTCGTATTTGTGATTATGGAAATAATTTTAAAAAGACTAGTCTCTTTAATTTACATTTTCACAAAACGCTGTTGAAAGAGCAAATGTCTGCTCAGTTGTTTTTCCTTTGCTTAAAAAAAAAAAAAGTGCCAGGAATCCCACCCCACCCTGCTGCTGGGTAACAGTCAATCATTTATTATTCCTGGATCAAACACAAGCATTCATGCCTATGAAAACGTTTGGCAATGAATGGGATCTTGGTCTCTACTAAAAACAAAAAATGGCTAAAAGGAGACTTCAATTTATGTTCAAATTCTATGGCTGAATTCCTATAATTCCTAACTGGTGAAAATATTGGCAAGCTACAAGATTTTACTTAGAGTCAGATTTACTTCTTTGGTGTATGCCCAGAGGTGTTATTGAAAGCTATTTGTGGCCAGCTTTCCAGGAGACCAAATGGGCCTTAAATGGAATGAATATTGGCCCTGCAGTACAGTGCACAAGGAGAAGGAGGAGAATTGGACACTTTTATTAAAAAAAAAACAAAACTCATTGGTTATACTTAACTAATTTCTACATAGAAGTTTTAGTATTTGGCAAAGCAAAAAGTCATATCTCAGAATCACCAAACTTACTATATCTGAACCCTTTCTGTTGTATTTTGGTATTAATCCAGGAGTTATATATATTATTAAAATCCTCATATAATCATGTAATCAGCCTCACTACCTATTAATACAATGACTTTCAATCCAGACTCAACAGTTTTCCCTTCCTCAAGCCTAATCAGCCTGATATGGTTTGGATGTTTTGTCCTTTCCAAATCCCAGGTTGAAATGTGATCACCAATGTTGGAGGTGGGGCCTAGTGGGAGGTGTTTGGGTCATAGGGGCAGATCCCTTATGAACGGCTTCATGCCATCCCCATGGTAATGAGTGAGTTCTCACTGTGTCAGTTCACGTGAGAGCTGGTTTAAAGAGCCTGACACCTCCATCCCCTCTCTCTCACTCCCTGTCCTGCCAGGTGACACGCCTGTCCCCCTTTGTCTTCTGCCATGAGTGGAAACTTCCTGAGGCCTCACCAGAAGCTGAGCAGATGCTGGTACCAAACTTGTACAGCCTGTAGAACCACAAGGCAAATAAATCTCTTTTTGAAAATAGATTACCCAGTCTCAGATATTCCTTTATGGCAATGCAAAATGGACTAACACACAGCCCTAAACCTAATTAAACCCCTAGAAACCATTACATCCTCCAAAGTAATCAATTCCCCCAAAACTAATCATACCCCTTCCCCTAAGCACTCCCAATCACCAAGTTAACCACTAGCCATGATCCACCAATCATCCATGAAACAAATGTCATTGTGGCAGAGACCACTAATCTTTCAATATCCATTTTTCACTTCCTCATTTCACCAATAAAACCCTCTACATTTTAGCTGAGCACATGACCTCACAGACAGATATGATATCTCCTGCAATCCTTTGCATCTGGGTAAGGCCATATGACTAACTTCTGGGTAATGAGATGTTTGCAAAAACAATGCGTTCAACTTCCAAGTCAAGTCCTTAGGAAAAACTATCCATTCTTTCTCTGTCCCCCTTTCTTTGGGCTGGACGGTTTGAAGGGAAGTGGTGAGCCGGATTTAATCATTTGCATGAGGACAACACTATAGGGTAAGGTGGAGCAGGAAGAAAGAATGGGGCACCCAAGTCTTCTTGGGGAGCAGTGCAGCCTACATGCCTTGGACTGTCTACTTTGGCCCCAGATGTAATGTAACAAGACTACGCATCTTAGCAAGATGAAAAATTGTTTAAAAAATTAAGTTTCCACTTTGGGAGGCCGAGGTGGGTGGATCACGAGGCCAGGAGATCGAGACCATCCTGACTAACACGGTGAAACCCCGTCTCTACTAAAAATACAAAAAATTAGCTGGGTATGGTGGCAGATGCCTGTAATCCCAGCTACTCGGGAGGCTGAGGAAGGAGAATGGCATGAACCCAAGGAGGCGGAGCTTGCAGTGAGCCGAGATTGCACCACTGCACTCCAGCCTGGGCGACAGAGCAAGACTCCATCTCAAAAAAAAAAAAATAATAATAATTAAGTTTCTTCCTATGACTAATCTCTGTGTAGAAGCAAACAAATAAAATAAAAGACCCTGGAGACCTGATAACCTCCCAAGCCTCAGTTTCCAATGTAACTAACCCACAAAATGAAAAGTTTTCCTTTAAACTGTCTGAAAATTTTAGCCAGAAAATAAAGTGACTTTCTCATTATGTATCTGAAATCCTGTTAGTCTTAAAAAAAAAAAATGCTTTGATGCTTGACTTCCTCTGAGTCTAAAAAAAAAATCCTGTAAAACTATAAAGCTACTTCCTAAAACTAATTTAAACAAGGATGACGGTGGCTATTAAAAAATTCTTAAATTTCATTCAGTTCAGAATGGTTAAAAACAGAACACACAAGCAAGGTGTGTCAACTGCTCTGGTAAAAAGCAGCAGCAGGTTGCTGTCAGTGCTCATGTGCCAGGGTCCCCCAGCCCAGATGCACATAGGCCCAGGGCCGTTGTCTCGCACCTACAGTTGCAACATAGTGTCTCCCTGCCCCACAGGTCAAATCCCGAGGTGTGGTCAGCCCACAGAAGAATTTTGGAGGGCCCAGCACTTTCCAGGGCCTGTCACTTGGACATTAAAACCTGCGATCATCCAAGAGAAACAGAGGTTGGCCCCCCAAGTATCCCTGTTACAGTCCAGGAAGGTGAAGTCACTGGAAACTTTTGGTGAGAACTTTGTGTTCCCTTAGCGGTGAGGATTTGGGAGAGATCAATGAGGTACTTTAGGGTTAGGGACTTTTAAAACTAAATCTGGATGGTAAATCTAGATAGAATAGGAGCCCTTAGTAAGGCTGGTGGACCATAACGACAGACATTCAACACCTGTGGGATGAGTCAACCTCTTCTCAATCCTCAGTATTTTGAAATGGATGGTGTTGATTTGTACCACCGTGTGTATTATGTGGGCCTGTGGCTGTCTGGCCCAGTGTTGCAGGGTTTTTGCTGGAGTTGTATCGTTCAGGTTAACTGTCACAGCAATAAAAAAAATATGAGAGTGGTTCATGCAGATGATAGTTGTGTGATCCAAGCAAAAACCACCACTTGGTAGTTCCTATAGCTCCCTTACCCAGTGAGTTTGGTGAAATGGGGTTAATTGAAGCCTCAGGCCCAGCTGTCTCTTATAACGGGATTTTCTACCAGAAGATTCAGTTGAGCCATAATGTGCACTTTGAAGACTATTTGTGAAGGTTGCTGAAGTAAAGGAATGCAAGTGTTTTACTAGTGGTGAAATCGATTCTGTTCCAAAGTGTTTTTTATGCTATTACAATAGCAACATTATGAGGAGGACAGTAACTCAGATATTTAGAGTACAGCTGAAGATTTACTTGTGTATGGAGAAGACAAGGATTGCATAGATCGTCTCCTTGGACAAAGGTAAAGGCAGAGTATACAAAAACAAAACCTGGCCGGGCACAGTGGCTGATGCCTGTAATCCCAGCACTTTGGGAGGCCGAGGCGGGTAGATCACCTGAGGTCAGGAGTTCCAGACCAGCCTGACCAACAAGGAGAAACCCTGTTTTTACTAAAAATACAAAATTAGCTGGGTGTGGTGGCATGCGCCTGTAATCGCAGCTGCTAGGGAGGCTGAGGCAGGAGAATCTCTCGAACCCAGGAGATAGAGGTTGCGGTGAGCTGAGATCACGCCGTTGCACTCTGGCCTGGGCAACAAGAGTGAAACTCCATCTCAAAAAACAAAACAAAACAAAACAAAAAAAACCTCCAGATGGTCTCTGTTTGTCCTTGGGTGCACTGATCAGCTGCAAAGAGGCAGTTTGTCTCTCAAAGGGCTGACAGAGTTATGAGGAAAGGCAGTTCTTAGTTGTATGCAGGTTTTCTGAGAATTCTGGCTACTTTAGCTATTGAGTGTTGGTCGTGCATCCCTGTCTGCGTCATGACGGCCTGTATCTTTCCATGGGTACCTGCACTATTTCTCTCATTGGAATTTGTTACATGTTTAGACTTTAGGAAATTAATAATGTGTGAATTCTGCAATGATGCTTTGGGGCCTGAGTTGAAACACGAATGTGCAAATATATGTCATAGCTGTTGATGCTTAGCTTGCAGAACAGGGGATGAAACCAGCATACTGCCATATCTCTAAGGCCATGGGTCATCTGGCTGCATGTTGGATAAAGCACAACACACAGTGAGATCTTAGAAAGCCCATTTCCTAGGATAGAGAATTGTGATAACAATTGTAAAAACATCTCATCTTCTCAGAGATATAAAAGTGAAGATTTTATTGTCATACCTTTTGGGAGTATGTCACAAAAGATGAAACGTTCTTGTTGTCTGGAAACAGCCAAAGAATCTAAGTCCACATATAAATGCATAATTTATTATTTCAGATGCGCATAAGGAAATAGTACCCATAATCCCAATTACAATTATATTGTCCACTTCATCAGAACCTGAGTGAGACTTAAGGGCAAAGAATGAGCTGATCGCGCTCTTTCTCTCTGATCAAGATCATGCTTTCCCTTTCTCCTCCCACACCTGCACACCCAGGAAAGGCATGCAGCAAGAAGCTCAAAATCTACAAGCCAGGAAGAGAGCCCTCACCAGAAACGGAAACAGCTGGCACTTTGATCTTGGACTTCCCAGGCCTCCAGAACGGTGAGAAATAAGTGTCTGTTGTTTAAGCCTATAGTCAGCCCAAGCTGACTAAGAAACATGGCCGCCCAGAATTAAGGCTTTATTTTTCAGCATCTTCTGCAGTGAACTGCATCTTCTGTGGCCACATGAATAAGTTCAGGCTAATAAGTTACAAGCAGAATTAAAGTATGGTAGCTTCTAGAAACCTTTCTTAGAGGACAGCTGGTATATGGCCTTTGCATCCCTTCCTCCTTGTCACTCTTTCTATCCTACTGCTTGGAATGTGCTGTGGAGCTGGAGCTCTTGCTGCCTTCTTAGACTGTGAGGTAATACGGACCACACTGTAGGGATGATTAAGAAGTAAGCTAGAAGGAGTTTGAGACCCTGAGGACTTGAAGGAATAGAGCTCCTACCACAGTCCCAGATTGCCTATGCTTCAGTCTCTACACAGGACAGAGAAATAAACTGCCATCTGGTTTAAACAGTGCTTCTGTGAGACTCTATTATTTGCAGTTAAGCCTAATCCTTGCTGATACACACCTTTTCCCTTATGTTAACTTGACTTCATGGGGCATAGTCCATAGGTCTCTAGGTCATTTCCTCTTAGTGGTGAGAGGCCAAATCTTGGTCCCTCTGATCACAAATACAACATGTTGAGAATGCTGTCTTCCTACCTGCAGCAAGGAATAGGGACATGTCTAGTCATCCCAGGGACTTAAGTTTTCCAGGCACTTCAATTCATTCCTGAAATAGTAGCCATGAGCTCCATGGGGGCAATGTGACTTCACTTTTACTCTGTAGGGAGCATCGCATATACAAAACATATAAAACACCTATCCTTTGCTTAAAGATGTCAATTCTTTCCTGAAAAACCTTGCTGCTCAGGGGAAAATAAATCATTAGATGGAAAAATATTTCCATTTATTTTAATGGGAAACCTATGATGCATTTCATTCTGACCAATGATATCCTCAATATTCACACATAGAAAAATCTATTGACTGAACAATGAAAGCAAGTTTATGTAAGAAACAATAATTAGAAAGTTATTAGGTAGAAGTACATAGGTAGAAGGCATTTATATGTGAAAGATACTATAGTGGAGCATATTTTACTCTCAAGGGAGGAAGAAAGATGTGAGTGGGCTGGTAGAGAAGAGATCGGAGAGGTCATTCTTTGGCAGGTGCAGTCTTCTTTCTGTACTATTTTCTTCAACAATTTTTCAACATTTTGAGGCTTCATAATCATCTTGCACTCAAAGGGCACCACAAATAAAATCATAGCACAAAAAATACTTTTAGGGCAAAATAAAAACTAAGTACGTGAGTGCTTCAAATAATGTAAAAAATAGTGCACGTGCACAGCCCACTGACATATCACAGAAGATGCTACCTATCTCTTCATCCCCCTTGCATGCCAATATGTTTGGGATTCTTTTTTAAAAAATTGTATTGCACATCACTCCTTTATTTTTTATTTTTTTGGAAGATGGAGTTTCGCTCCTGTTGCCCAAGCTGGAGGGCAATGGCGCAATCTTGGCTCACTGCAACCTCCGCCTCCTGGGTTCAAACGATTCTCCTGCCTCGGCCTCCCCAGTAGCTGGGATTACAGGCATGCGCAGAAAAAGGATTTAGTACAGTTATGCTTAAATGAACACTAGGCCCTTGTGGCAGGGCCAAGCAACTAGAACATGATTCAGAAATCAATCCGTGAAAGACATACTTGGACAGGACGAAGAGGCATTTCACCACCATGAAACAAGGCAGGTGAAGGATTCTAAAACACACAGCAGGAGGCACTCCTACCCCTCAGAGCTTATCTCATCTTGGTATGAGGAATGGCTTATATTCTGATGACCACATGTGGGACTATTTCAATCACTACAAGAAACACCAGAAAGGTTACTGTTTAGTATTATTTACATATACTATACTTTTTTTTTCGGTAAAAGTAAATGTAACACATAAACTAAATTCAGGATTGATCCCAACCTTCTAGAGCCAGCTCTTCTGGGGTTGGGGAGGAAATGTTGTTTGTCACATCATCATGCAGGTTACATTCATCTTCCACTGGAATGACTAGAGCCCCCAGGCAGTGGCCTGACTGCAGAAGAGCAGAGAACTGGCTCCTGGGGCCAGATAGGTGCTCTTGCTTCTCCTCATTGGTCATGGCTTAGCATGGTTCCTCTCCACAAATCCTTAGTAAAGAAAACACTGGCAAAAACCCAAGTCACTACCTTTCAACTCTCTTGGACAAGGGAATCTTTTCCTCAGCTTGGACTGAGAACCTGTGACCTAGAACTGCTATTCTGACTAGACTGTATGAAGGGAGTGGGTGCAGGAGACAAATGGCTAAAACGAAAATGTGAGCCACTGGTCCCCATCTGCAGCTACAACATAAGATGCCTACAGATGTGGTCAGTGTGACATGTGCAGGGGGCAGGGGCAGAGGAAGGGATGGCCAGGGAGGGTGTTCCGGGGGACAGTAGCATGCCTGCTGGCCTTCGCTTCTTAGCCTTGCTCTGGGCAGCCACAGCTTCCATGGCTTTACACAGAGTCACTTCATCCCCCAGGAACTGCATGGGCTTGATGGGCTTCAAGTTCTTGTCCAATTCATAGACGATGGGAATACCAGTCGGCAGGTTCAGCTCCATGATAGCCTCTTCAGAGAGACCCTCCAGATGCTTGACAATGCCCCGAAGGCTGTTGCCATGGGCTGCAGTCAGTACCCATTTCCCCTCCTTGATCTGAGGAACTATTTCCTTCAGACTCTCACCGGAGGATAGCTGATCTTCAGTGAGGTCTGCATACCTGCAACCCTTACTGATGTTGCTCTACAAATGATGGTCGGGCTCCATCGGAGGTGGTGGCACATCACAGGAGTGCCTCCAGATCTTCACCTGGGCCTCACCATGCTTCGCAGAAGTTTCTGCTTTATTGAGGCCAGCCAGACTCCCGTAATGCCACTCCTTGAGGCACCAAGTCCTCACTACTGGCAGCCGCATCTGATCAATGGCATCTAGCACTGTCCAGAGGATCCGATCGCTCTCTTCTGCACTGAGAGGAAGCAGGTGTCAAACTCATAGCCAGCATCTCGCAGAGCCTGCCTGCCGCGCTTTGCCTCCTTGTGGCCTACCAGGATTAGATTGGCATTGTACCAGCTGCTGAAGTGATTCTCCAGGTTCCACGTGCTCTCACCACATCTGATCAGTACTAGCTTGTAGGTGACCATGGCGGTGGGCTGGGGATGCAGCCTATGTTTTGGATTCTTGCAAATTCCTATTTGTTTCATATGGTATTCTCTGACTGGGACTTGCTGTGTCAAGTAATAAGTTGGTGAGTGTGTCTTTGCCTGAAATCAGAAAGTCAGAATATTCTTGTAGCATATGTCATTGGATAAAAACATTGTTGTACTGGGGGGAGAAAAAGGAGTCCTTGTCTGGGACGTAGTAGAAGCTTTCAAAGCCATAATGACAAGAAGTTGTCACTGAGCTGTTATTATGTGGATAAGTATGTAATTGGGATGATGGGGGTCAGAAAGAGTCAACACCTCAAATTCTCTTTTCAGGGTCTTACCCTGAGACAGTCAGTTAAGTCCTTACGAGGTAGGTGTGGCGAAAGTCAGGGAGGCTGCAGACAAACCTCTGCCACACATAGGCTTTTTGCCAAGGGCCCCAGGGCCTCAAATCTTTCCTGTTTTCTTTCAGCCAGACTTGAGGGACATGGGGTGTGGGTAGGGAAGAGTTTTAGTACTTCTACGAAGCTGCTGTAGGAATTACCAAAATGCTGTTTACTCAGTGACTTAAAGAACAGGACTGAGATATACCTCTGCCAGCCAGAGTCCATCTGAGAGTTTGTTTTGTGAAAGGAGGACCTGAGCTGTGTTGGGCAGTGAAAGCCCTTCTGGGAGAAGAATGGGATAACTGACCTTCACCTGCTTGCTCTGTCTCTGTTCTAAAATACGAGGAGAGCAAGCTCTATTCTCACTTGTCTCTGGGCCCTACCAGATCCTAGCAAAGTGCTGCCAGAGAAAAGGGCGTGGGCTTTGGAGTTAGAGTTGGATTCAAATCCCTGCGTTTCCTTCTCTGAACACTTTTAAACCTTTCTTATCTGCACCCCCACCCCCCAAAGAAAGTCCTCGTCTGCCCTCGAATTCCCCTTGAACTGCATTGCATAGTGTCTTCTCTTCTTAGCTAACTTCACTATATGCAAGTGTTCAATCTGCTGTCTTATCAGAGAGACTTTTTTTTTTTTTTTTTTTTTTTGTATACTGGACTTAGAGCTCCTTGAGTGCCCTTGGCATGTTCTGATTCCTCCAGCAGTTCAATTACACTAGGAGACATGTTTCTCTGGTTCTGTTTGCTCTTGTGTCTGGCTGCTGGGTTCCCAGCTGCTAGAGGTCTTTAGGGAGCGGCTATCCTGAGAGAGGGGCAGACACCATAGTCTGCCCATGGGGATAGGGGTGTGAGCCACTGGCCAGTTATCAATCCTTTAATAGGCCCCAAGTTGGAAGGGCTGGTAACACCTGGGACATCCCCTGCTGGGGGAGAGAGAACTCAGCTCCTCCTTGAGGACAGGGAGACTCCTCCCAGACCTCTAGCTCTTTTGGCAACACTGACATGGAAGCCACAGCCCTGCCCCCCTGTAGCCATGGCCTGTTCAAACTGACTCCCAGATACCACAGTATTCCTCCTTTTTCTTGCCTCAAGACTTTTTGAGGCTTGTTTCCAGGATCTCCTCTGGCACAGAGGTGAAAATTCCTGTTCCACTCCTGTCTGGTATGTGCCCACCCGAGCCACTGGCACTGCCCACACCTTTCAGCCTCAGCAGCTCCCTAGCTTAGGAGAACAGCAGCTGGGCTGCGGCTGGGTCGGGATGCATCATGGATGTTACAGAACAAACTGCCATTTTCCCAGATTCCTCCTTACCCCTGTCATCTAGAATCCATAATATTTTATTTTTTATATTTTAATCTTTGGTCTCTTTGGAATTCATTTTGGTGTCTGAGAAAGGGCATTCTGGAACTGAGATCCTAAACAATGAGCCTAGTTCTGAAAGTGTTGAGAAACCAGGATATAGGACCACCCAATGAACACTGCGGGGCTAAGCGGACAGGAACAGGAAGCAAACCGGAAGGAGCAAGAAGCTCTTCCCTCTTTTCCCAAGAGAGAGAGAAAAAAAGAATCTTTTCCCTCGTCTGGTCCTCCACGCTCCCTCTTGCGCCCTCTGTGGGTCGGTCTACAGGGAGTCACCTGCCAAAGTAGAAATGGGTTTTGAGTTTCAGCCATGTCACAAATTGAGTATAGAGGCATACTTCAGAAGCGGGGGGGACAATAGATTAACGATTAGCATATTAACTTTATCACAAATTAAATGGCCATATATCCTTGGGTCTAGTTCTAGACTTTATTCTGTACCAACGATTGATCTATTTATTCTTTACCAGTACCAAACTTTTTATCACTGTAACTTTTATACATGTTGATATCTAGTGGGACTAGTTTTCCCCTCCTGATCATTTTCCAAGACAAGTTTTCTATATGAATTAATTTATATATAATTGTTTATGTGAATTGGAATTAGCTTGTTAGTGATTGAGGTTGCATTGAATTTATTAATTTAGAAGGCTTGAAAAGTTTACATTTTTGAGATTTCTTTTCTTGCTTTCTTTCTTTTTCTTTTGTTTTGTTTTGTTTTGTTTTGTCTTTCTGGAGACAGAGTCTTGCTCTGTTGCCCAGATGGTGATCTCAGCTCACTGCAACTTCCGCCTCCCAGGTCCAAGCAATTCTCCTGCCTCAGCCTCCCGAGTAGCTGGGATTATGAGCACGTGCCACCACACCTGGCTAATTTTTGTAATTTTGGTAGAGACAGGGTTTCATCATCTTGTCCAGGCTGGTCTCAAACTCCTGGCCTCAAGTGATCTGTGCACCTTAGCCTCCCGAAGTGCTGGGATTACAGGTATGAGCCACCACACCCAGCCTTGAGATTTCTTATCCAAATTTATCTTTAAATTTATTAAAATATTTCTTTGAGTTATTCCAATAGAGTATTATGTTCTTATTTATGTACATACCGTGGATTCTTAACTTTATTCTAGGGCATTTTCCCTCCATTTTGTTGCTAATATAGAGGAACATTTTTTTCCTTATTATATTTTCTTCTTGGTGAGGGTCTGTATGAAAAACTGGCTTTTTTCATGTATAAGTATACTATCATCTACTTAACCATTATGCTATTTTGGGACATTTAGATGATGCTGTTTTTCTCCTTGGTAAATTACATCATAGAGATTTTTCTTTTCTTTTTCTTTTTTTTTTTTTTTTTTTGAGACGGAGTCTCGCCCTGTCGCCCAGGCTGGAGTGCAGTGATGCGATCTCGGCTCACAGCAAGCTCCACCTCCCGGGTTCACGCCATTCTCCTGCCTCAGCCTCCCGAGTAACTGAGACTACAGGCGCCTGCCACCATGCCTAGCTATTTTTTTTGTATTTTTTAGTAAAGACGGGGTTTCACCGTGTTAGCCAGGATGGTCTCAATCTCCTGACCTCGTGATCCGCCCGCCTCAACCTCCCAAAGTGCTGGGATTAGAGGCGTGGGCCACCGCACCCAGCCATAAAATCTCTATCTCTATCTCTGATTTTTTTTTTCTTTAGGATAAATTTTTAAGAATTCCATTATGAGGTCTAAGTATAAGAGCATTTTATTAGCCAGGCGTGGCGGTGTGCACCTGTAGTCACAGCTACTCCAAAGGCTGAGGTGGGAGGATTGCTTGAGCACAGGAGGTCAAAGCTGCCGTGGGCCATTAACATACCACTGGACTCCAGCCTGGGCAACAGAGCAAGACCCTGTCTCAAAAAGAAGAAGGAAAAGAATATTTTATTTGTTTATTCATGAGACAGAGTCTCGCTCTGTCACCCAGGCTGGAATGCAGTGACATGATCATGGCTCACTGCAGCCTCAAACTCCTGAGCTCAAGTGATCCTCCCACTTCAGGTCCTTGAATAGCTGGGACTAAAGGTGCTTGCCATCACATCTGGCTAATTTTTTTTTTTTTTTGTAGAGACAGGGTTTCTCCATGTTGTCCAGACTGTCTCAAACTCCTGGGCTCCAGTGACCTGCCTGCCTCAGCCTCCCAAAGTGCTGGGATTACAGGCATGAACCACTGCACCTGGCCCTAAAAAAAATTTTTTTTGTAAAGAGATGGCATCTTGCTATATTGCCCAGGCTGGTCTCCAACTACTGGCTTCAAATGATCCTCCCACCTTGATCTCCTTATAAAGCATTGGGATTACAGGTGTGAGCCACCATACTTGGCCTTATAAGAGCATTTTAAAGTCTGAAATTGTTTTTCAAAAACAGTGTCCAATTACTAGCAGGGACAAGGGCTCCTGTGTCACTGATCCATGACCAAAAATGGATATTATATTATCCTTTTCTGTAGTAGGTTAATGGGATTCGATTTTTAACGTACCATTTTGCACCACTTGGGTTGTTAGTGATGTTGAACTTTTTCATGTTTATTTGAATTGCTGATATTTAAATAGTCCTTCCATGATTTTTTTTGGAGTTCCTCATCACTTTCTTTTCGACATTTATTTTCTTTGAAAGAATTTCAAACTTAAAGAAAAGTTGCAATAATCATATTAAAAAAAACCCATATGCAGTCTATCAACTTGTTAACATTTTACTACATTTGCTTTGCTTTATCATTCTGTGTGTGTGTGTGTGTGTGTGTGTGTGTGTGTGTGTGTATACATAGTTTTCCTGAATGATTTCAAGGTAGGTTGTGTATGTCATGTGTATTCCATAAAAACACATATATTCTTTCACTGTATTCCACTACAATGATCAAACTCAGGAAATTCAGCATTGCTACAATATGATTGTCTTATCTACAGTTCACATTCAAATGTCAATGGTTGCCACAGTTATAGCCAATACAGTTATAGCAACACTTTCCAGTATAGTATCCAGCCCAGGATCATACGTTCCGTGTTTTCATCACTTCTCTTTGATTCCTTTCATCTGGAATAGTTCCTCAGCCATACTTTGTCTTTCATAATATTGATGTTTTTGAGGAATACAGGCCAGGTGTTTTATAAAATTGGGGTTTGTGCAATGTCTCATCATGATTAGATTTAGAATATGCATCTTGGCTAAAATAACCACATAAGTGTCCCCATTCCTTTTTAATAAAAACAAGTTGGAATTTACTGCTGACAGCTTGACAATGAGGGAGGAAACTAGAAACGGAAAACAGATAGACTCTAGTGTGGGTGTGGAGGTGAGTCCCTCCCTTGCAGACCTGGGAAGTGATCTTTACTAGGTCATGGGGTGAGTGTGTAGGGCAGGGAGGTTGAGGACCATCAGGAACAAGCCACTCAGTCTTATAGGCCTGGAATGTCACCTGTCAATGGCCACTAGTGCTCAGGGGTGGCACTGCCACAGATATTTTAAAAATGTGAGTGGAGGAGGGGAGAGAAGGTGGTTGACGCTGAACTGCATTTCAGCCTGTGGCAATCAGGAAGCAAATACCTTCCTGTCTCTAGCTTCCCAGCCTCCCTAGACCAGCCAAATTACTGAAGGGCCAGGTGAGTGTCTCAGAGCACAGCAGCAGAAGGATGAGAGCCTTGGTCTTTGCAGCTAAGGAGAGGAAACTCCAGGCTGAGACCTTTGGAGGCTCCCTCTCTCCTGACCTCTTTCTATCTCCTCCTCACACCCTTTCTGCTCCTAACAACTCCTCTGCAGGTCACATGCCCAGAAGCCACACATCCCTTCCTTTGGGAACTCTATCCTTTCTGCCTCTCAGTGGAAAACTCCAGAGCTCAGGCTTTGCACAAAAGTTAATGGAGACTCCCCTCTGCCCAAGTCTGTCAACTCTGAAGTGGGAGGAATAGATCCTAATTCCACCAGCAAGAATCATAACTGTGCAAGTTATCTGTGAGCAAGCACATCTCTCCAAAGCAATTATTATTATTATTTAGGACAAAACACTATCTTGTCCCAGAGAAGGGGAGCTTACTCTTGGACTCTGTTTTTCAACAGGATGGCACTGAGGAGCCTCTCCTCCATCCTGTTCTGGGCTGGTATCACTAGAGCCACCACCTGAACTGAGACGGGTTCTGTCTTAGCCATCCTGACCCCCGGTGTTGCCAATTCCAAGTAGCCTCTTTTGGACCCTGAGTATGCCCCTTAGGAGATGCCACTTTTATCCTGCGCAATTACCTTACAATAGTCATAAATGATGACTGTGACTCACTCACAATGTAACATTATAACCAATAAGCTCCGCTTAAGAAAGCAGAGAAATTGATCATTTTCAAATGTGCACCATCCAAACTGTAATAATAAAAAAATTTTCTGGCTGAGCATGGTGGCTCACACCTGTAATCTCAGCACTTTGGGAGGCCAAGGTGGGTGGATTACTTGAGCTCAGGAGTTCAAAACCAGCCTGGCCAACATGGTGAAACCCTGTCTCTACTAAAAATACAAAAATTAGCCAGGTGTGGTGGCATGCATCTGTAATCCCGGCTACTAGGGAGGCTGAGGCAGGAGAATCGCTTGAACCCAGGAGGCGGAGGTTGCAGTGAGCCAAGATCATGCCACTGCACTCCAGCCTGAGCAACAAGAGTGAAACTACATCTCAAAAAAATAAAAAATAAAGGTGAGGAGGCAGAGGTTACAGGCAAAGTCATAAATCATTATTATTAGGTTTAACCTAAAAAGGCAGGACATCTCAAAGCACGTGTATGTGTGTTGGGGGTGGTGATTAGGAGGGGCCCACAGGTCATAGGAAGAGTCGAAGATTTTCTTTTTTGTTTGTGCTTTTTTTTTTTTTTGCTATTTTATCTTAATTTTATTATAGTTTCAAGAAAAAAAATTAAATTTCTTTTTTTATTTTTATTTTTTTATTTTTTATTATTATTCTCCTTTAAGTTTTAGGGTACATGTGCACAATGTGCAGGTTAGTTACATATGTATACATGTGCCATGCTGGTGTACTGCACCCATTAACTTGTCATCTAGCATTAGGTATATCTCCCAATGCTATCCCTCCCCCCTCCCCCCACCCCACAACAGTCCCCAGAGTGTGATGTTCCCCTTCCTGTGTCCGTGTGTTCTCATTGTTCAATTCCCATCTATGAGTGAGAACATGCAGTGTTTGGTTTTTTGTCCTTGTGATAGTTTACTGAGAATGATGATTTCCAATTTCATCCATGTCCCTACAAAGGACATGAACTCATCATTTTTTATGGCTGCATAGTATTCCATGATGTATATGTGCCACATTTTCTTAATCCAGTCTATCATTGTTGGACATTTGGGTTGGTTTTAAGTCTTTGCTATTGTGAATAGTGCCACAATAAACATACGTGTGCATGTGTCTTTATAGCAGCATGATTTATTGTCTTTTGGGTATATACCCAGTAATGGGATGGCTGCGTCAAATGGTATTTCTGGTTCTAGATCCCTGAGGAATCGCCACACTGACTTCCACAATGGTTGAACTAGTTTACAGTCCCACCAACAGTGTAAAAGTGTTCCTATTTCTCCACATCCTCTCCAGCACCTGTTGTTTCCTGACTTTTTAATGATCGCCATTCTAACTGGTGTGAGATGGTATCTCATTGTGGTTTTGATTTGCATTTCTCTGATGGCCAGTGATGATGAGCATTTTTTCATGTGTCTTTTGGCTGCATAAATGTCTTCTTTTGAGAAGTGTCTGTTCATATCCTTTGCCCACTTTTTGATGGGGTTGTTTGTTTTTTTTCTTGTAAATTTGTTTGAGTTCATTGTAGATTCTGGATATTAGCCCTTTGTCAGATGAGTAGGTTGCGAAAATTTGTTTGTGCTTTTTGAGACGGAGTCTCCCTCTGTCACCCAGGCTGGAGTGCAGTGGCATGATCTCTGCTCACTGCAACCTCTACCTCCTGAGTTCAATTGATTCTCCTGTCTCAGCCTCCCAAGTGGCTGGGATTACAGGTGCGCGCCAACATGGCCAGCTAATTTTTGTATTTTTAGTAGAGACAGGGCTTCGCCATGTTGGCCAGGCTGGTCTTGAACTCCTGACCTCAGGTGACTCTGCCTGCAGCCTTGGCCTCCCAAAGTGCTGGGATTATAGGCGTGAGCCACTGCATCCTGCCGATTCGAAGATTTTCTGACTTGGTTAAGGAAGTGAGGCTTTGTCTGAAAATTTGTTATCATCAGAAAAGAATGTTAGCCCTGGCTCGTGGGTGTGACCTCTTCCAGGCCTCTCAGGAAGAAATCTAGAACAAAGGACAGCCATTAGAGTTCAGCCCTCAGTTCCCCCTTATCTGAGGTCTGTGTGCCAGGGGATTCCTTTGGTAAGAATCTGGGTTTCTAGAAAACAACTCAGGGACATATGTTAAGATGTTATCTCTAGTTTCTATAGGGAACCAAACGTTCTCCTGACTCTAACTTCCTTGGCTATTGTTTTAAGCTACTATTACCTTCTAGCTTATCGAGTTGCTCATTCACTTCTTAAGGCTAGCTAGGTCCCCGGAATTTCCTTCAAAGGAACTCAAGATTTTACTTTATTTCTATGCTTTGGTGCCCGCAAGTCCCTAGGAGGAGTCTCTACTCCATCTCAGTTATACCAAGAGCAATCAGTGTTATCAACCAACCTTGAGCTCCTGTTTCATTTCTTTTCTACTTATTCCCATTCCAGTTGAATTACTTGGAATAGTATAACTTTGCACCTGTTTATTTTCTTTTGTCTAAATACTATGGCATAACCCATACACCCCTTCTCTCAACAACACAGTTTAATCTGATTAGGGACAGACAGAGAATTGATAATGATCCATGAAATCCCTATAGGATTGTGTTCTAGATACCTTCTATGATAAACCACTTGAAATCTCTATTTCAAAATCTTGCTGCATAGTCCCTATAAAAATTCTTCCATATCTTTCCCCCTGAAAGAAATATGCGGGTTCTTATTGCTAGAAAGGGGACAAGTTATGCGACTGTGATCTTTTCTTATGACATCACTGTGGAGAAAAAGGCAGATTTTGCCTCAAGCTAGAAGATGAGAAAAGGCCCTGTTTAGCTGGTAGGGAGGACGGTGATGACTGCTGCTGAAGACTCAAGAGTCCAAGACAACCGGTTTCTCTCTATCTCTCTCCTTCTCTCTCCCTCTCCCTCTCTTCCTCTTTCCTTGTCTCTTCTTCTCTTCTTCTTTCCTTGTCTCTCCCTCTCCTCCTCTTTCCTTGTCTCTCCCTCTCTCTTTCCTCATCTTTCCCTCTCTCTTTCCTCCTTTTTCTTCCCCCAAATCTCCTCCCCTTTCTCCTTCTCACCCTCTCTTCCTCTTTTTTCTCTTCCCCTCTCTCTCCTCCCCTCTTTCCCCCTTCCGTTTTCCCCCTTTCCCCTCTAGAACCTGGATTTTTGCATATTAATTTTTTATGCAGCTTCGTTATTGAATTCTCCTACTGTTTTTCAAAATTGCCTTTTGATTGATTTTACTGTTTTATCCAGGTATAAAATTATGAGTGTATCAGCTAACAATAATAATAAAATTATTCTTTACCTTTCTTCTAGTTTCACCTTTTATTTATTTATCTCTACTCTCTAATTCAATGGTTGGTATATCCAGAAAAGGGTTAAAGTGTAACAGATTTGATTTGATGCACCATTACGCATGACACATACTTTTCACTAGAGATATAAATTTAATTTTATTAAAGAACACATCCATTCCTATTTTATTAGAAGGAATTTAAAACTAAGAAATTCATGTTCAACTTTTTCAATAGTTTTGAGGATCTATTTAACCTATAAACGTAGAGAATTATACCAAGACATATCCTTAAATTATTCTAGCTTTATTTTTTAAAAATAAGTCCATTAGGCTATGGTTTAGTATTCTTTCTATGTGCTGCTGAATTCTATTTTATATGTATGCGTGCATCTACATACATACACACGTAGGTAAATAGATGAGATAGGAAAGGAAAAGGTGGTGTTTTCATTTCCTGTACTTCCTTGTTATGTTTTTAATGGTATGGCATCAATGTTATGCTGGCTTGGTTAAAGCAATTTGGAAGATATCTTTCTCACTTTATTCTCTGAAATTGTTTAAACAGTATTAAAAACCTTTTGTTCCTTGAATGTTTATTACCACTCATCTGTGGAAACAGATGGCCTGGAACATCTTAAGGTGGTAACTGACAAGTTGTCAACTTCTCCTTAGGTAATTGGTATTTTAAGTTGTCTATCTTTTTAATGGTTAACTGGGTAATCTGTTTTTTCTTAGAATATAAATTTCCCCCCCAAATTTTCACATTTATTTCTGGGAGTGGAACAAAATATCCTTACAAAATGTCTACTTTTCTTGGCACCAGTGGTTTGGATCAGATTAGTGTTTGGTGGTGTCTGTGGACTGGGGACCCTGGGGATGGGGATGAAGGGTGGGCTGAGCAGATGGAGCCCAACTCCCTCCCCTGGCCCCCACATCTATTCTGCCCCCCACCTCCATTTCAGCCAAAGCAGATATACTTTATATTTGGAGTTTTAACTTAAAGATTTCGTAGGGCATTTGGTCACTAGAGTAAAAGCCTAAAGCACCCACTAACCCAGAACTGTGATTTTTAAAATAATACATTTGTCTGTATGATTAAGTATAATAATATAATAGTTTTGCCTCCCCTTGACACCCAAAAGAGAGTGGGAGTGAAAGGTGCCACTGTTCCTAGAGGAAGCAATGTAATTTCTGACTCAACAGTTACACTATAATAATGTAATTTATAATATAAATGGATATGACTGCCATTCCTCAAGGAAGAGAAAGTGAGTGGAGGACAGCCTCACAAGAAGGCAGGCTTGTTCAAGTATCTCTCTCTGCCAGACAGATCTCCACTGCCCTGGGGAAACAGAGTTAGCTTAGCACCATCATTATTATTCCCAAGGTATTTTCAGAAATATCACACTGGAATTAGATGATACTGTGGACACAATTTAGTACCTGTCAGTTGGGTAAACTGGGTGATTTTGGCACAGGTGGAAGTATGCGGGCTATTTATGCTGGAGGGAAAAAGACCCAGGAACCAGGAGAACAATCTTTATATATCGGAAGAAAGAAGAGATAAGGTGTATTTCATGTAAAGGCACGAAGCTGAATTAGGACTGGAAGATGCTATCGGAGACAGATGTTAATGGAGACACGTATATGTTAGCACAATTCAAGGAAGAATTTGCTAGTAGGGCTGAATGAAACAGCTAGAACCTGGAAGTGTTAATTCTCTATCACTGGAGGTATCCAAGCAGATGCTGGATGAGTGGGGTCAGGGATATTGGAGAGAAACTCCATGAACTATGCAGTTAGCGGTGAAGAAAGAGACCTGTGCAGCTGCCTCTAAAAACACGACATGGCTCTGTAAATGTCTGAAGTTGGCTTGCATGGCCACTAGATGTCACTCTTGTGTATCTGCAGTAGCAAGATCGTTTCTCTTCTAGGGCAAGTAGAAATCAGAACCTTAGACTAACACAATATAGTGAAATTTTATTAGCAACATATACATCCTTATCTTATGCAATTCAATGTTTTTTTAATAGAGATAAGGTCTCACTATGTTGCGCGGGCTGGTCTTGAACTCCTGAGCTCGAGTGATCCAATTCATTCTTGACAAATATAAGAAAACTTAAATATATCACTTGAAGCAAAAATATTCCAAGAACTATTCTTAAAAACAGATTCACTTTCTAAAGTTTCCTTTTAAATAAGTCTTTTGATATTCTCAGACTTTGATATAACTTGCCATAAAACTGCTGCTTTTCATCCACAGCAATTTCTGAACCTCTTGTATGTCTTCTGTGTCTATGAATAGATAGGCAAAAGAGGTTAAGGAATCTGCCCAAACCCTTAGGTAAAAAAACATTGGCCTGGCGCAGTGGCTCAGGCCTGTAATCCCAGCATTTTGGGAGGCTGAGGTGGGCGGATCACCTTGGCCTGGTCAGGAGTTCACCTTGGACTTGGTCAGGTGTTCAAGACCAGCCTGGCCAACATGGTGAAACCCATCTCTACAAAAATACAAAAATTAGCTGGGCATGATGCCAGGTGCCTGTAATCCCAGCTGCTCTGGAGGCTGAGGTGGGAGAATCGCTTGAACCTGGGAGGCGGAGGTTGCAGTGAGCCGAGGTCTTACTATTGCACTCCAGCCTGGATGACAGAGCAAGACTCTGTCTCAAAAAAAAAAAAAAAAAAAAAAAGCTTCCCAATTTTTATTGTGCTGAACTTTGGAGGCTCAGGAAATGCTACAACTTTATACCCTATTGAACATTCACAGTGGACCTTTGCATAATAAAGGCTCTGAGAAGTCTTGGAACAAAGAAACCTATGAAAATTTAGCCCCATAGGCTAGGACACTGTGGCTCACGCTTGTAATCCCAGCACTTTGGGAGGCTGAGTCGGGCGGATCACTTGAGGCCAGCAGTTTGAGACCAGCCTGGCCAAAATGGTGAAACCCTGTCTTTACTAAAAATACAAGAATTAGCCGGGCATGGTGGTGTATGCCTGTAGTCCCAGCTACTCAGGAGGCTGAGGGATGAGGCTTGCTTAAACCTGGGAGGCAGAGGTTGCAGTGAGCCGAGACTGCACCACTGTACTCTCGTCTGGGTGACACAGCGAGACTCTGTCTCAAAAAAAAAAAAAAAAAAGAAATTAGACCCAAAGTCTTCAAACATGTGTAGCCACCATCTGTCTACTTCTATCTATATCTATCTACCATCATCTTTTTTCTAGAACATGATTTGGCATCTATCAGAATACAAGCTTTGCTGTTGTGAAATTCTGTAAGAACGTCAAATTTGAACTCATTACTCCTTGAATTTTATTTAATTTACTAGGTGGTGTTCAATGATCTGCAGTGCATCAGGAAAAAATAGCCTAAATTTTCTCATAGCTAAAAAGATATTCAGTCATCAAAATAGATTATTCACAACTAAAAGCTCCCTAAGTGAAGAACTTACCTTTTCTTAGCCATTCAGGCAAACTGAGTGTAATAAACTGAAGCCTCAGTAAAAGTTTCCACTCCCTCCTTATTTCTCTGATTTCCCTGGTGAATCCAGTAGGGCTGGTAAGTTGCTGTGAGAACATTCTCACGTCCCTGTTCTAACTCTAGAGCTGAGACACTCTAAGGGCCATGCGTCATGCTTTCATGGCTGCTGTCTCGTGTGGTTTTACCGTATGTTCAGAATGCCTTCATCACAGTTGATTATTTATTGAGTCTGGTGTCTGTTGAAGCTGTCAGACATAGGACTAAAACTCAGGAGATATCGTCTGAAAAGTTTAATATCTCCTGCAAATGGACTTAGAGTGAGAAACCATTATAGGTCACATGACTTGGCTTTTGAATGGCAGCTGATGTGATTGTGATTCCTTACTTCCATGTGGGTGACAATCACAGAGGACCCTTCCACCATCACTGAGTGAAGCCTTTTGGTCTCAGCAGTCTCCTCACAGCAGCCTTCACATCCTTGTTCCTCAGGCTATAGATGATGGGGTTGAGCATCGGGGTCACCACCCCATAGAAAAGGGGGATGAGTTTGTCTGAAAGATCCTCTTTGTCTGCTCCCATGGAGTCCTTAGACTTAGGCTTCCCATACATGAAGAATAAGGTCCCGTAGAAGACGATCACCACGGTGAGGTGGGCAGAGCAGGTGGAGAAGACCTTTTTCCTCCCCTCAGCTGAGGGGATCCTCAGGATGGTGGTGATGATGAAGACATAGGAGAAAGAGATGAACAGAACCGGGACTCCTAGGAAGATCACATTCGTCACCTCCATGCTGATCACATTGATGGAAATGTCAGCACAGGCCAACTTTAGAACAGCCAGAATCTCACAGGTGAAGTGGTTGATGACATTGTCTCCACAGAAGGGCAGCTGAATTGCCAAGGATGTGTGTACCACGGAAGCAGCACCACCAATAGCCCAGGAGCTGGCAGCCATGGGCATGTAGGCAGCCTTGCTCATGATCACGGAGTACCTAAGGGGGTTGCAGATGGCCACATAGCGATCAAATGCCATCATGCTCAGGAGCAAGCACTCTGTTCCTGCCATGGCAAAGGAGAGTGCCATCTGCACAGCACAGGCTGAGAAGGAGATGGTTTCCTGGGGAGTCAAAAAGCTGTCCAGGACCAGTGGGACTGAGGAGGTAGTGAAGCAGATGTCCAGGAAGGAGAGGTTCCCTAGGAAGAAGTACATGGGCGTGTGCAGGCGGGAGTCAAGGATGGTCACCAGGATGAGGACCCCATTGCCCAGCAGGATCACGAGGTACATCAGCAGGATGAGCACGAAGAATGTCTTTTCCAGCTCTGGGTGGGCAGAGAGCCTCAGGAGAACGAACCCCATCACAGGGGAGGTCTCATTGGCTTTTTCCATGTGATATCCCCTCTGCCATCAGCAAAGTACTGAGCAGCGCATCAGGCTTTTTGGGAAGAGTCCTAGGCATCTAATATGTGGTCAAGTTCCCATTGCATAATAGAAGAACATATCTGTGCAAGAGAAAAATGACGGAAAGAGACAGTAGGGGGTGTCTTAGAAGACAGAAGGTCAGAGCTGGACAGGTAGTGGGTGAGGGCCTCAAATGTCCGGTTGTGCATGAGGGATTTTTCTGAAGTTGCTGCACCCTCTCAGTGTCCACAAAGGTGATAGAGGCCTGGGGAGGAGAAGTGACCTGTCCAAATCTTCTGAGCAAGTTGGTGACAGAGACAAGACTTGAACCCAGCAGAGCATATCCCTGGCCCAAGGAGGGCTTTTCCTCTTCATTGTGATTAAGTGCTAGGAAATGCTATGAATTATTTCTCTTTAATGCAAATCCACAGCAATTTCATTTGATCTGGGCTTTCTTAGATTCTCAGAGAGGAAAATTCCCAAGAAGATGCAATTCTTGGACCTAGCAAGTGATTAAGTTTCTTTAAACTTTGATTACACGTGGGGAGGAAATTGCGCAAAATTGTTCAACCATATTCACACAGAAACAAGCCTAGTTAATATTCAGCCATAAAGAGCATTACTTCTTCAGTCTAGTGACACAGGCTTGAGCATTGACAGGAATAGATCTGCCTATTTGAAATATGGATTTATTGCAATATATGGGGAGGTCCTATAGCTGGGAAATTTATGAAGCCAACAAATGGATTTGTTGGAGTGACTGAACTCACACCATGAGACAACACTGTGTAGCTTACCAGTTAGTTAATGCAATATTAATAACCACACTCTAACTATAGTTATCGATAGTAGAGTATATGGCATTAACTTCTGATCCCATCTCATTAGGATGTCTGTGAAATTCCTAACCGTGAATGACTAAGAATGTTTTTTCTTTGTCCTTTTATGTTTGCATTTTATTCTTGCATTATCTTCTGACTCTCTGACTCCATTCTTGAGTTCTATGCAAGCAGCTGGCTTATAGGAAGACTTATATGCCTTTGTATAGAGGATATCTAGTCTCTTACTTGCAATTTCCCTGACTCTAAATTCAAAGTACTCATAGATAATATTTTGATAGCTCCTTCTTAATGACAGTGGCTCTATGAGTGTGTATAAGAGTGGGTGGATGATGGAAGATGAGTGGTTAATATTAATATTAGTGAGAATATTAGGGATTCTCACTAATATTAAGGAATATAAGCTGTGCCATATTTCTTGAAACAGCTCATGGAGAAGATATTATCATTCAGGTTTTACAGGTGAAGTAACTGGAGCTCAGAAGATAAATTTGCTCCTTGGGGTTGAATGGCAGAGCTGGAGTTGGATTCCAAGACCTAGTCCTGAGTTCTTTCACGAAACAGCTGCTTTTCTCTTTTGGTGCACAGCTTTGCAAAAGATTCTGTCCCTCCAATATTAGACAGATCTTATAGTCCTATTTATAATTTTCTCTGTGCTAATATTGCTATAGCATAATGATAAATTAAAAGGACAAAGTCAAACTTGTACACACTGTTATGATCTCAATTAGCTCTGTGTATTCTCTGGCCAGTCTCACTGTCTGTCCAACACTCTCTCTTCAGTCATGGGGGAGGGTTTATGTCAGATGTGTTGTCAGGCAGTGCACCTCCCACCCTAAATGGAACTCAGGGTTTCTCAAATTCTTTACGATTGACATTTTGTGCTGGATAACCCTTTGGTGTGAGGGCTGTCCTGTGCATTGTAGGATGTTTAGCAGAGTCTCTGACCTCCACCAATCAGTTGCCAATAGCACCTTCTACCCTGAGTTGTAACAATCAAAATGTTTCCAGACGCTGCCACATGCTTCCAGGGGAAAGGTGTGTGTGTTGGGGCGGGGGGGGGGGGGTTGGCGGGGGGGACGGTGCAAAATTATACCCAGAAGAGAACGATTGGTCTAACCCAGGAGAAGCTTCCCCCATTACACAACCATGGGTCTCAAGGTATTTCCTGTGCAATCCTATTCCCCTCTTCCCATCCCTTCATACAGCACAGAAGGGTGTTCCTGGTTGCTCAGTGCAAGCTGACCCCCTCTGAGTGCCCCACCCTGAACTTCCACCCCAGCTTATCTCCTGTTCCTCCTAGTGCACCTCTCACCCACTCCAGAAAATGAAGAAAAGCAAACATTATATTCAGTGCCACAAACCAGATTCAAGCAGATGCTGTGGTTGCAGAGGCCAAGGAAAGTGATTTCTGTTAGGGAAGCCACACTGCGCATTCCCACAAGATAAATCTATGCACACAGAAGTTTCTATCCATGAATAACATCCTGTGGGCATGAATGATGCGTGGGATTTGGCCTCCTTGAGAGCTGCCTCTGTGGAAGCCTCTGTCTGTTATGAAAAGTTGCTGAGTACATTTGTTTAATTGAAATGAACTGTACAGCTGGGAAGACTCTGCACTCTGAGATCAGAGCTAGTGGAACTACCCCTGCCTGGGTGATGGATATTCCATCAAGCTGGAGTAAGTCTCTTCTCCCCCCTAGGCCTCAGTTTCCCCATGTGCTCCATGAGAAGGCTGAATAATTGCTTCCCAGGGCATCCCAGCTCTGAGGGTTGTCGTGGACCCTCCAGTGCTGACCTCTGCAAGCAGGGAGCGGTCCTTGATGAAGGTGGCTGCCCACACTGATGAATGTGAGGGGTGTGTGTGTGTGTGTGTGTGTGTGTGTGTCTGTGTGAAGGGGAGATCTGAATTCCTGGTTGTCCATCAAGAAACATTCAACAGTTAGTAGAGCTATGTCAGGTTTTGGAAGGGATTCAGAATGAAAGCAAACAAAGAGGTCTGGCACCTGCAGCCCCATAAGAGGAGGGAGAGAAGCGGGGAGGTGGGAGGCAGCTAGGGAGAGCAAGGGGAAGAGGGGAAGCTTTGGGCTCAGTGGCCGCTTCCTGCAGGCATGGAGCCTTGGTTTGTCCCAGGGACCTGGCTTGGCTCATGGTCTTGTCTCTACCTGTTCTGGAGCCAGCAGGCAGATGAGAAGTAGGAGGCAACGTGGTGCTGTAAAAAGAGCGCCATACACTCTCATGCAGCCTTTCTGGAGGGAAATTTGCCTAGGAAAAGGAAAAATTCAAAAAACCTGCCTGCCCCTCACCTCAGCTGTTCTCCCTTCAGGAAATGTGTTAAAGAATCAGTGAGCATGGAGGCCAAGATCTCTCAATAAAGGTATTTATCACAGCAGTATTTGTGAATGAAAATAGAAAACAATACAGCTCTCCACCAATAAGTGCCTAAGTAAATCATGCTTTTCACATAATGGAATATTAGACAGACCTCATAGTCCTATTGGTAATTTTCTCCATGCTAATATTACTATAGCATAATGATAAATTAAAAGGGCAAGGTCAAACTTGCACACACTATTATGATCTCAATTAGGTAAGCAATCATGTGGATAGAAAGTGACTGGAGGCCGGGCGCAGTGGCTCACGCCTATAATCCCAGCACTTTGGGAGGCCGAGACAGGCAGATCGCTTGATGTCTGGATTTCAAGACCAGCCTGGTTAACATGGTGAAACCCCGACTCTACTAAAAATACAAAAAACGTTAGCAGGGCATAGTGGCATGTGCCTGTAATCCCAGCTACTTCGGGGGCTGAGGTGGGAGAATCATTTGAACCCGGGAGGCGGAGGTTGCAGTGAGCCGAGATCACGCCATCGCACTCCAGCTTGGATGACAGAGACTCCATCTCAAAAAAAAAAAAAAAAAAAAAAAAAAGCGACTGGAAAGAAAAGATAGCAAAATCCATAGGGGCAGAGCATTCCTCTCGGTACCTCTTCAGTGTTTCCCAAATTTTCTCTGAATACCATGGATACGAGTTATTTTGTATTCAGAAAAAATCTCAGCATTTCTCAGAGGCGGGTGAGAGAAACGGAAAGCGCTAGCCGCAGAGTGGGCTTAGAGACAGGGCTGGGTACAGGCCCACCTGCCTCTCGCCCCCTGACCCTGAGGGAGTCCGCTTTTCCTCTGAGCCTCCCTTCCTCGCCTGTGGAGTGGGATGGAAGCCCTGCCAGGCCCCCTCGGGGCTTGCGTAGGGACAGAGCAGCAAGGACAGGGAGGGGACTTGGTTCATGGGGTCCCCGGCGGGCACTGGGAGCCCAGCAGCTCCTCTCTGCCCCAGCAGCAGCTGCTGCTTAGGACCAGTGGCAGCTGGGAGGTTTCTGGAAGCAGAGGCGGGGCGAGGAGGAAAGCGCATCTGAGGCAAACGTCCTGCAAGAGGCATGTCCCCATCCCTGCCCCGCCCCATCCCTGCCCCCGCCCCAGCCCAGCTCTCCCCATCTGCTTCTTGCGCGATGGCCGCTTCTGAGTCTCCTGATTCCACACGCAATTCTCAGTTCCTCCCTGGATCCCTGGCTAGACACTGTGCCAGAGAAAGACCCCCGACATGCCCCTGCCTTACCTGGGAGACCCTCTTTCTTCTTTTTCCTCTTAAATCGTGTGGGCACTTTAGCCTTTGGTGGTGTTTCTCTCACTTCATTCCTTTCAGCTGTGCTGGCTAAATGCTGCTGTCCCAGCTCCAGACTCTTCATGAAGAGGATCTGGCTTCCTGGCCTGAGGCCCAGAAATCCCGAAGGTAGGTTTTCCCCAGCAGCCGAAGGAATCCTCGAGCCGCACCGTGTACTCTATGGGGCCCCTGACACATTAGTTACTCCAGGGCCCTGCTAATCCCACAAGTAATTTAAAGTTTGGAGTGCCACATGTGCACAGGGCACAGGTCGATGCATACCTGGGAGCTCCAGGGACCACACCCCATCCCAATTAGAGGTGGTGACAGGGGCCCAGCCACTGGACATGGAGAGGAGACCTCAAAAATGCTGGCTCCCCCCTGAGCTTTCCCTCAGGTGTCAGAGAAACAAAGATGGTGCTCGCTTCAGGGAAGAGCACCTTGTCCCCAGGTTGAAGTCCTAGAGATCCAGAATGGTTGACAAGACAGATGTCTTCCAACAGCAGCAGCAGCAGCAGCACAAGCTCCATCTATGGAGCGCTACCATGTGCCGGGCACACTGACAAACACCGTACATATACGGTATGCATGTGACGCATGTGTGTTGAGCACCTACTTTCAGTCGGCCCAGGAGATTCGTATGATCCCCCGATGTTTTCATTTGAGGGACAGCCTTCAAAAAGTTAAGCAATTTACCAATGATCACTAGTGAGTGGCAGAGCTGGGATTTCAGTCTCAATACACCTGATTCTCTTTTTCATCACTTGTAGTCATCATCATCATCATCACCACGACTGTCATAATTATTAGTAGGTATTACTTGACTTGGAACAAAATTAAGATGCAGAAGTGTATATATTAAAAATTAAGCCTCACTCTCCAATTACTCAGTCATTCTCTCTTGCGGCAAGCAATATTAGCAATTTCTTGTGTGATTTTTTTCCCTAGAGATATTCTATACTAATAAATATTTTTGAGACAAGCTAAGCAGAAATATACATTGTTTTACTATCTTCCTTTTCTCATTTAAAAATATACATTGGAGAGTTTTCCTGAAAAAAAAAATTGCTGCCTCATTCTTTTAAATGGCTACATACACTCCATTGTGTATGTTAAAGAATGGGTGTGCCATCCTTTAATTAGCCAGTCGGCTACCGGTGGTCTTTTTTTGGTTTTAGATGGAGTCTTGGTCTGTCACTCGGGTTGGAGTGCAGATCTTGGCTCACAGCAACTGCTGCCTTCTGGATTCAAGCGTTTCTCATGCCCCAGCCTACGAGTAGCTGGGATTACTGATGTGCACCACCACGCCGGCTAATTTTATTTTATTTTTATTTTTTGAGATGGAGTCTCACTCTATTGCCCAGGCTGGAGTGCAGTGGCACAATCTTGGCTCACTGCAACCTCCGCCTCCTGGGTTCCAGCAAGTCTCCCACCTCAGCCTCCCGAGTAGCTGGGATTACAGGCGTGTGCCACCACACATGGCTAATTTTTTTTATTTTTTAGTAGAGATGGGGTTTCACCATGTGGGCCAGGCTGGTCTTGAACCCCTGACCTCAAGTGATCCGCCCACCTCGGCCTCCCAAAGTGCTGGTATTACAGGCTGAGCCACTGCACCCAGCCACTGATGGCCATTGATTTTCCAACCTTGGGCTATTACTATCAATGCTACAACAAATACCATTGCATAGTCATAATTTAGCACATGTGGTGAAAATATATCTGTTTTATGCTCACTTGTAATTTTGATAGAGATTGTCAAATTCACACGTTCCTCTCATCAGTGAATGAGAATGTCTGTTTTTCCACACTCTGCCAACATAGTATGTTGGCCTTTGGGGCTTAGCCAATTTGATAGGTGAGAAGTTATATGGCATTATAGTATCTAAAACTTGGTACTTAAAATTTTTGGTATGTGTAATAATTTAAAATGTGAAATATAGCACACATGTACACATTAATATAAGAGTATATAAAACATATTTTTAATCTAGAGAATATTAGCAATTACCACCTAACTTAAGAGACAGACATTGCCAGTACCTTTGAGGCTCCCTCAGTATCCCTTTCTGATCCTAGTCCTCTTTCCCTCCTTCCAGAGATAACTACACTCCTGATTTTAGTTATAACCATTTCCTTGCTTTTCTTAAACTTTATCATCTATGTATGCATCCTTAAACAGTATCATTTAGGCTTGCCTCTTTCTAAACTCTGGATAAATGGTATCAGTCGTAGGTATTCTTTTTGACTTGTTTCTTCACTCAATATTATTATGTTTGTGAGATTCGTCTATGTTTATGAGCGTAGCTAAGTTTGTTAATTTACATTGTTAAAATCCATTAAATGAATGTAGCATAGCTTATGTATACATTCTACTTTGATGAATAATTGGGTTGCTTCCCAGTGAATGCTGCTATGAATATTTTGTACATTTCTCCTGGTATACATACATATTCCCGATTTTCCTAATTGAATTTACAACCCATCCTTTCTCCACCGATCTGCAATACCATCTCTGCCATGCATCAGGTCTCCTAACAGGAATGGATCTGTGTGTGGCGTTTCTAATCGTTTCCATTGGTTTACTTGTCTATTCCTGTGTCATCACTACACTGCCCTCATTGATTGCTTTATAGTATGTGTTCATTTCTCGTAGGGTACCTCCCTTCATCTCCACCCAATACTTCTTCAAATATGTCATAGCTGTTGTTAGTCCTTTTGTTCTTCTATATAAACTATACAACCAGCTTATTAAATTCTACAATATTTCTTTCTGTGGTTTAAAAATTGGGATAGGGCTGACTGCGGTGGCTCACGCCTGTAATCTCAGCAGTTTGGGAGGCCAAGGTGGGTGGATCACTTGATGTCAGGAGTTCGAGACCAGCCTGGCCAACATGGTGAACCCCCATCTCTACTAAAAATACAAAAATTAGCCAGGCATGGTGGCGTATGCCTGTAATCCCAGCTACTCGGGTGGCTGAGTCAGGAGAATCGCTTGAACCCAGGAGGTGGAGGCTGCAGTGAGCTGAGATCACGCCACTGCACTCCAACCTGGGCAACAGAGTGAGACTCTGTCTTTAAATAAATAAATAAATAAATAAATAAATAAATAAAATTGGGATAGCATTGACTCTATAGATCAAATTGAAGAGAACTAACATCTTTATAACATTGAGTTTTCCCACCTGTGATTGATAGACTGTTCTCTCTTTATTTTAATATTATTCAAAATTTTTTATAATTTATACTTCCATGCCTAAAGATCTTGGAGCTCTTTGCCAGGTTTACCCCTAGTTAATGTATATTTCTTGGTATCTTTAAAAAAATTTCATTTTCTCTTGCTGGAATGTAGAAATGCAGTAGATTTCTTTTTGCTGTTAATTTAGTGTCTAGTGACCTGGCTAAACTCTCTTTTCTTTTTTTTTTTTTTTAAATAAAATTTTTATTTTCTATTTCTTTTAAAATTTATTTTCATTTTTTAAAAATCTGTCCCCACAATCTATTCTCATAAACTGTTTTCAATTCTTATAATATGTCTGTAAATTATTTTAGATTTTCTCATAGGTCACAAGTAATATCATCTGTGAATAATGATGGTTGTTTTTCTTGCTTCAAAAATTTTAGACTTCTTGTCTCTTTTTCTTGCTTTGCTGCACAAGCTGGTTCCTTCAGTTCAATGCCGAATGAAAAGTGGCAATAGCAAACATCCTTACCTCATTCCCATCTCACAGAGAATACTTTCACTATTTTCACCATTTAGTATGATATTTGCCATAGATTTTCATAGATAACATTCAAAAGAATGTTCCCTTTTGTTCCTGGTTGGCTAAGAATATTTATTATGAGAAGGCATTGAATTATTGTTACCTGTTTTAAAAACCTCTAAACTTTGAAATAATTATAGATCCATAGAAAGTGGCAAAGATAGTACGAAGATGTCTCTTGTATCCTTCTGCTAGTTTCACCTGCTTGTTACACCTTACCTAAATACACAATATTCAATACGCAATAGCATACCAGGAAATTGACATTGGTGCAATGTGTATGTGTATAGTTCTATTTCATTTTATCACATGTGTGGATTCATACGACCACTAGCGCAATCAAGACATGGTACTATTCTATCACCACAAAGGTCTCCCCCATGCTATCCCTTTCTAGTCATCCCTACTCCCCTCCCTTCCCCATCTGTAACCCCTGGCAGCCACTAATTTGTTTTCTATCCCCACAATTTGGTCATTTGAGAATGTTATAGAAATGGAATCATATAGTTTGTAATCTTTTGATACTGACTTTTTCTCACTCAGTGTAATGCTGTGAGGTCTATTCATGTTGCTGCATGTATCAGTAGTTAATTTCTGTTTATTGCTGAGTAGTATTCTATGGCATGGATGTACCAAAGTTTGTTTATTCATTCACCCATTTTAGGACATTTTTGTTGTCCCAATTTTTGGTTATTGCAAATAAAGCTACTGTGAACAATTGTATAGTAGCTTTTTTTGTGCAGACATAAATGTTGATTTCCTGGGATAAATGCCAGAGTGTTATTTAGTTTAGTGTAATTGCTGAGTTATATGGTAAGCATATATTTAGTTTTTTAGGAACTGCCTGTTTTCCAGAGTAGGTGTGTCAATATACACCTCCCACTAATAACGTGTGAGAGATCTAGTTTCTCTGAATCCTTGCCAACTTCAGTGCTGTGAACATGTTTTATTCTACCTGTTTCAATAGGTGTGAAGTGATACCTTATGGTCTTAATTTGCGTTTGCATAAAAGTTAGTGATGTTGAACATCTTTTCATTGCTATTTGCCACTGTATATCCTGTTTGGACAAGATGTCTCTTCATGTATTTTGCCCATTTTCTAATTGAATTATTGTTATTGTTGTTTTATACTGTCAGATTTTGAAAGTTGTTTTGGTGACATCCAAATTTATCTTTTTTTCATGAATTTTGCTTTTTGTTGTTATGCCTAAGAACTCTCCACTATGCTGTATGTTTCAAGGTTTCTCTCCTATATTTTTTGCTAGAAGAGTTATAGTTTTACCCTTTAAATTTAAATCTGCGATCCATTGTGAGTTAATTTTTATTTGTTACCTGGGGTACAAGGTGACATTTCAATATCTGTATACAATGTACAATGATAAAACCAAGGTTTTTTTTTTTTTAGCATATCCATCACCTTGAACATTTAGCATTTCTTTGTGTTGGAAACATTCAAAATACCCTCTTTTGGTTATTTGAAAATATAGCATAAATTATTATTAACTACAGTTACCTTACAGGGCTAAAGAACACTAGAACTTATTCCTTCTCTCTAGCTATAATTTTGCATGCATTAGTCAAATTCTCCCTCCTCCACCACCCCCACTTCCCAGCCTCTAGTTATCACCACTCTATTTTCTACTTCTATGAGATCAACTTACTTCACTTCCACATATTAGTGAAAACATGTGGTATCCATCTTTCTGTGCCTGGCTTATTTCACTTAACATGTCCTCCAGGCTCATCCACGTTGCTGCAAATAACAGGTTTTATTCTTTTTTATGGCCAAATAGTATTCTATTTTGTATAAAAACCACATTTTTTTCGTTCATTCATCTCTTGATGGACACTTAGGTTGACTCCATATCTTTGCTATTGTCAATAGTGCTGCAATAAACACGGGCGTGCAGATAGCTCCTCAACATGCTGATTTCCTTTCCTTTGGATATATACCCAGTAGTGGGATTGCTGAATCACGTGGTAAGACTTTTTAGTTTTTTCAGGAACCTTCATACTCTTTTCCATAATAGCTATAGTAATTTATATTCTCAACAACAATGTGTGCATTCTCTTTTTTTCTGCATCCTTGCTAACATTTGTTATTTTTCTCTTTTGATAATAGTCATTTTAACTGGGGTGAGATGATGTCTCACTGCAATTTTGATTTGCATTTCCCTGATGATTACTGATATTGAGCATTTTTCATATACCCATTGGTCATTTGCATGTCTTCTTTTGAGAAATGTCTATTCAGAACATTTGCCAATTTTTAAATCATATTATAGTTGACCTTTGAACAGTGTGAGGGTTAGTGACTTCAACCCCCAGCACAATTGAAAATCCATATACAACTTTTGACTCCTCAAAAACTTAATCGCCTACTCTTGACTGGAAGCTTTACCAATGTCATAAGCATTCAGTTAACACTTATTTTGTATGTTATATGTATTATATACTTTATTCTTACAATAAATTAAGTTAGAAAAAGAAAATGCTATTAAGAGAATCATAAGGAAGAGAAAATATATTTGTTATTCATTAAGTAGAAGTGGATCATCATAAAGGTTTTCATCCTTATTGTCTTCATGTTGAGTAGGCGGAGGGGGAAGTAGAGAAGGGAGGGTTGGTCTTGCTGTCTCAGAGGTGGCAGAGGTAGAAGAAAGATTATGTATAGGTGAACCTGTACAGTTCAAACCGCTGTTCAAGGGCCAACTGTATTTTTGTTGTTGTTGGTTTTGGCCACTGAGTTATTTGTATATTCTGGATATTAATCCCTTCTCAGATAAATATTTTCTCCCATTCTGCAGATTGTCTCTTCACTGTGTTGATCAGTTCCTTTGCTGTGCAGAAGATTTTTAGTTTGATATAATCCTCTTTGTTTATTTTTGGTTTTGTTGCCTGTGCATTTGGTTTTGTTGCCTCTGCATTCTTCATAAAAATCTTTGCCCAGACCAGTGTCCAAAAGTGTTTTTCCTATGTTTTTTTCTAGTAGTTTTATAGCTTTGGGTCTTTAATTCATCTTTAGTTTATTTTTGTATACGGTAAGAGATGGGTATCTTAGTTTCATTATTCTGCATATAGGTATCCAGTTTTACCAACATCATTTTTTGAAGAGACCGTCCTTTCCCCAATGAATGTTTCTGGCACCTCTGTCAAAAATCAGTTGGCTGTAAATATGTGAATTTATTTCTGAGTTCTGTATTCTGTTTCATTGTGTTTTTTTTTGTTTGTTTTTTTTTTTAGACAGAATCTTGCTCTGTCACCAGGCTGGAGTGCAGTGGTGCAATCTCGACTCACTGCAACCTGCGCCTCCCAGATTCAAGCAATTCTCCTGCCTTAGCCTCCCAAGTAGCTGTGACTACAGGCATGTACCACCACGCTCAGCTAATTTTTGTATTTTTAGTAGAGATGGGGTTTCACCATGTTGGCCAGGATGGTCTCCATCTCTTGACCTTGTGATCCACCCACCTTGGCCTCCCAAGGTGCTGGGATTACAGGCGTGAGCCACCGCACCTGGCCCCCCCCCCTTTTTTTTTTAATGAGATGGAGTCTCACTGTGTCACCCAGCCGGGAGTGCAATGGAGCGATCTCGGCTCACTGCAACCTCCGCCTCCTGGATTGAAGCGATTCTCCTACCTTAGCCTCCTGAGAAGCTGGGATTACAGGCACCCACCACCATACCTGGCTAATTATTGTATTTTTAGTAGAGACAGGTTTTTATCATATTGGCCAGTCCGGTCTCAAACTCCTGACCTCAGGTGATCCTCCCACCTCGGCCTCCCAAAGTGCTGGGATTATAGGCGTGAGCCACCCCACCCAGCCAGTTTCATTGTTCTATATATTTCTTTTTATGCCAGTGCCATGCTATTTTGGCTACAATAGCTGCAGTAGGAGGTCACATAGTATGATATCTCCAACTTTGTTTTTTTGTTCAGGATTACTTTGGCTACTCAGGGCCTTTTGTAGTTCCACAAGAATTTTAGGACTTTTAAAAATTTCTGTGAAGAATGTCATTGATATTTTGATAGGAATTTCATTGAAGCTGTAGTTTGCTTTTGGCAGTATGATCATTCATTTTAACAGTATGAATTCTTCCAATCCATAAACATGGGATGTCTTTGTATCATTTTGCATCCACTTTAATTTCTTTCATCAGAATTTTATAATTTTCCTTGTAGAGGTCTTTTACATCTTCAGTTAAATTTATTTCTAGGTATTTTTGGTGTGACTATTGTAAGTAAAATTGCATTCTTGATTTCTTTTTCAGCTAGTTTGTTATTGGTGTATAGAAACACAACTGATTTTTGTGTATTAATTTTTGTATCCTGCTACTTTACTGATTTCATTTTTTGGTTCTAAGTGGCTTTTTTTTCTGGTGGAGTTTTTGGGTTTCTCTCTGTATAAGGTCATGTCTTCTTCTATAAACAAGAATAATTTTACTTCCTCCTGTCTAACCTGAATGTCCTTTATTTCTTTCTCTTACCTGCTTGCTCTGGGTAGGACTTTCAGTACAATGTTGAGTAAGTGTGGTAAAAGGATTTTATAATTTTCCTTGTAGAGGTTTTTTTTTTTTGACAATTATTTAAGACCTTTATTAACAGGTGCTTGCAGTTTGTTGACTTTTTTGAAAAAATCAAGTTGTAAACTTTTATTACAAATTAAAAATGAAGTTCTTAAAAATCTCAACTTGACCAGATATGAAACAATTTAAAAACCTTTAAAGGCGTATTGAAAAAAACCAGGCTTTTTTAAAAAACACGTTTGTTATTACCAAAAAGAGACGTCTTTAGGTAAAAATAATAAAAATCCCATGCTGCATAGATAATGCAGATAGTTCTATTTATCTGGTCAACGGGCAAAAAGCAAGCACTTAAGGTCTTCAGCTCCAATCTTTTGTTCATTTCTTATAGCTGGAATTTCATATTTCTTCCTGTTGGATGACTAAACCGGATGATGGTAGAGATGGTAAGCTGGCATTTACTCAGTCCTGCCCCGCTCAGCCTCAGGAGTGGACGAATTCTCAGCTGGTGGATCGGCTGCTTTTGTCTCTTTGCCATCTTGTGGTTTAGGGTTTTCTGGGTGTCTGCGTCGGCAATTGAAGTTGCGGCGGTACCGACGTTGAGGTGGCTGCTGACCTTGGGTCTCATCTCCTTGATTTTCTTTATCTTCATCATTGCCGTCCTCTCTAGGCTGTCTTTGGCGTGGAGGGCCCCTGCGGAATCGTGGTCTATATCCCCGATACGTATTCTGCCTCACTGGTCTACCTTGTTCTCCTGCACCCTGGTTGTCAGCACCCTCCATCACTTCACCCTGCACAGGAGGGTTGGAATACTGTGGTCGACGCCCATAGGGTCTCCGCATGTAGTAAGGTGGGAACCTTCGCCTGCGGTAGGGCCGGCGTTGTTGGGCTTGGCCTGCGGGAGCACTCTCCGATCCCTCGTTCTTTTCCCCACTCTCACTATTCTGGTAATTTTGCTGGTAATTGCGTGGAGGACCCTACGACGTGGATAGCGTCTATAATGGTTACGGTCTGCTGCATATGTACTGCCTTGAACTGGAACACCACCAGGCCCTGTAACATTTGCTGCCTCCGCACCCTTTTCTCCTTCAACAACATCAAACTCCACAGTCTCTCCATCTCCTACACTGCGAAGGTACTTCCTGGGGTTATTCTTCTTTCTGGCAGTCTGGTGTACAAATACATCTTCCTTGGTGTCATTCCTGTTGATGAAACCATATCCGTTCCTTACACTGAACCATTTTACTGTTCCCAAAACCTTCGTTGCGATGACCTTCTTGTCCCCGCCGGCAGGCGCCGCCGATGTGAGGCCGCCCGGGCCACCGCTTCCTGCGCCGCTGCCTGCAGTGCTGGGGTGGGTGTCGGCGGCGCTGAGGGCGGGGGCGGCGTGGGGGAGCGGCGGGCGGCTGCTGGGTCTCGGCCTCGCTGCTCATAGTTGCGGTGATGGTGACTGGGGCCGGCTGCGGCAGCTGCGGCTTCTCCCGGGGTGTGATGGTAACTAGGCCGGCGGCGGAGGTGGGGCTGCCCAGGGCTCTCTGGGGTCAGCTCTCCGCTCCCGCTACCGATTGAACTCTCCTTGTAGAGGTCTTTTACATCCTCAGTTAAATTTATTTCTAGGTATTTTTGGCGTGACTATTGTAAATAAAATTGCATTCTTGATTTCTTTTTCAGCTAGTTTGTTATTGGTTTATAGAAACACTACTTATTTTGTGTATTAATTTTTGTGTCCTGCTACTTTACTGATTTCATTTTTTGGTTCTAAGTGGCATCCTTGTCTTGTTCCAGTTCTTTGAGAAAAAGCATTCAACTTTTTCTCACTTAATATGATGTTAGCTGTGGGTTTGTCATATGTGGCCTTTATTGTGTTGAGGTACATTTCTTCTATACCTGTTTTGTTGAGAATTTTTATCATGAAAGAATGTTAAATTTTATCAAATCATTTTTCTGCATCTATTGAGAGGATCCTATGGTATTTTTCCTTCATTCTGTTGATGTGATAATCACATTTATTAATTTGCGTATGTTGAACCATCCTTGCAAGCATCCCTGACATAAATCCTACTTGATCATGGTGTATACATTTTTTGATGTGCTGTCAGGTTTGATTTGCTGGTATTTTGTTGAAGACTTTGCATCTATGTTCATCAGGAATATTGGCCTGCATTTCTTTTTTTGTTGTGTCCCTTTCTGCTTCTGGTATCAGGGTAATGCTGACCTCATAGAGTAAGTTTGGAAAAATTTCCTCCCCTTCAATTTTTTGGAATGGTTTGTGAAGAATTGGTGTTAACTCTTCTTTAAATCTGAAGTAGAATTCAACAGTAAAGCCACTGGACTTGAGCTTTTCTTTGTTGGAAGACTTTTTTACTACTTCAATCTTGTTACTCATTATTAGTCAGTGCAGGTTTTCTGTTTATTTCTGGTTCTACCTTAGTAGGTTGTATGTGTCCAGGAATTTACCCATTTCATCTAGGTTTTCCAGTATGTTGATGTGTAGTTATTTATAATAGTTTCTAATGATTCTTTGCATTTTTGTTGTATCGGTTGTAATGTCTCCTTTTTTTATTTATGATTTTATTTACTTGGGCCTTTTCTTTTTTTTCTCCGTCTATCTGATGGTTTGCCAATTTTATTTATCTTTTCAAAAGACCAAATTTTTGTTTCCTTGATCTTTTATATACTTTTTAAATACTCTTTCATTTATTTATGCTCTAATCTTTATCATTTCTTTCCTCCTACTGATTTGGGGTTTGGTTTGTTCTTCCTTTTCTATTTACTTGAGGTACCCCAATAGGTTGTTTATTTGTATTCTTTTTACTTTTTTAATGTAGATGTTTATTGCTGTAAACTTCCCTCATAATACTGCTTTTGCTATGTCCCATTTTGGCATGTTGTGTTTCTATTTTCATTTATTTCAGGAAGATTTTAAATTTCCTTGTTAATTTCTTCACTGACTCACTGGTCATTCAGAAACATGTTTTCTAATTTCCATCTATTCATTACATTTCTAAAGTTCCTCTTGTTATTCATTTATATTTTTATTCCATTGTGGTCAAAAAATATATTTGATATTATTTCAACTTTTAAAAATTTGTTGAGATTTATTTTTTGGCTTAACATACAGTCTATCCTGGAGAATGTTGCATATACTGAGGTGAAGAATGTGTATGCCGCAGCTGGTGGATGAAATATTCTGCAAATGTCTGTAAGATTTGTTTGGTTCATAGCGCAGTTTAAATCCAATGTTTCTTTTTTGGTTTTCTGTCTAGATGATCTGCCCAATCCTGACAATGGGGTGGTAAAGTCCTTAACCATTATTGTATTATGGTCTCTCTCCCTCTTTAGATCTAACGATTGCTTTATATATCTGGGTTCTCCAGTGTTAGGTTTATAAATATTTACAATTGTCATATAATCCTCCTGTGGAATTAATCCCTTTATCATTGGAGGGTGACCCTTTTGTCTCTTTTTACAATTTTTAATTTAAAGTCTATTTTATCTAGTATAAATATAGCTATTCCTGCTCATTTTTGGTTTCCATTTGTGTAGAATATCTTTTTCTATCCCTTCACTTTCTGTCTGTGTTTGTCTTTACAGGTAAAATTAGTTTCTTGTAGGCAGAATATAGTTGAGTCTTGTTCTTTTTATTCATTCAGCCAGTCTATATCTTTTAAATGGATAATTTAATTTGTTTACGTTCAAGGTTATTATTGATAGGTGAATACTTACTCCTGTCATTTTGTTATTTGTTTTCTGGTTGTTTTATATATCCTTTGTTTCTTTATTCTTCTTTTATTGCTTATCTTTGTGGTTTGGTGATTCTGTGTAGTTGATAAGGTTTGATCCTTTTCTTTTTCTCATTTGTTTATCTGCTCTAGCAGAGAGTTTTATACTTTCACATGTTTTCATGATGGTAGTTATTATCCTTTCACTTCAGATGTAAGACTCCCTTGAGCATTTCTTGTAAGGCTGGTCTAGTCATGCATTTTCTTGTTTTGCTTGTCTTGAAAAGACTCTATTTCCCCTTCATTTCTGAAGGATAGCTTTGCTAGGTATAGTAATCTTGGCTGCCAGTTTTTCCTTTCAGTACTTTGAATATATCGTTCTCCCTGGCCATAAGGTTTTTGCTGAGAAATCCACTATTAGTCTAATAGGTATTCCCTTGTATATGCCTTGATTCTTTTCTCCTGCTGTCTTTAAATTTTTCTCTTTGTTTTTGGCTTTTGACAATTTAACTATAATGTGCCTTGGAAAGGACCTTTTTGAGTTGACTTTGTGTGGGGATCTTTGAACTTCCTGGATCTGGATGTCTGTATCTTTACAAAGACTTGGGAAGTTTTCAGTTAATATTTCAGTAAGTAGGTTTTTTATGCCTTTCTAATCTCTATTCCTTCTGGAATTCCCATAATAGCAATATTTGTTTGCTTAATGGTATCCCATAAATCATGTAGGTTTTCTTCATTCTTTTAAATTATTTTGTCTTTTCTTTTTTTTTTTTTGGTTCCACTGGGTTATTTTTTCAAAAGATCTGTCTTTAAGTTGAAAAATTATTTCTCTGTTGTTGAAGCTCTCAATTGTATTTTTATTCTTTGAGTTATTCCGCTCCAAGGTTTGTTTAGTTCTTTTTTATGAACTCTTTCTCTTTGTTGAATTTCTCATTGTGATCATGAATTGTTTTTCTGATTTCATTGAATTATCTATCGATATTCTTTTGTATCTCACTGAGATTCCTAGGATCATTATTTTGAATTCCTTTTCAGACACGTCATAGATTTCCTTTCCTTTGGTTTTGTTATTAGAGAATTATTGTGTTCCTTTGAAGGTGTCATGTTTCCTTGTTTTTCATGTTTCTTGTGTTCCTACACTGATATTTGTGCATCTAATGGAGCAGTCAGCCCTTCCAAATTTATGGAGTAGCTTCCATAGGGAAAGCCTTTTTCCTGTAGATGTGTCCTGTATTGTTGGTTTGGTAGGGTGCTTTGAATTTTGTTCTGTGAGTGCAGTAATGCAGTCTCCATGTGATTTCTTTAGCTCTAATCAATGTCAGTGGTGGTGTCTGTGAGTGCCTCAGTGGCCTAGACTGAAGGTGTTTGTGGAGGCTGTTGTGTGGCTTTGCTAGAGGCAGGGGCTACTAGATGGGTTGGTTCTTAAGTTCTTGCGGTGGGGGTGTGCACTGAGCATAGTGTCTCCACCAGTTGTCAGGATGGTGTTGCCAGCTGCAGTGGGCACTGGACGAGCTGGTCCTTGGTTCCTGGGGGGTATACATGGTGCATGGCTACTTTGCAGTTGAAGGAGATGGGGTTGCTGGTGGCAGTGGGCACCACACAGGCAGGTTCTTCGTCCCTAGGGGGCATATATAATATGAGACGATTGGAGGGGGCAGGGTGACTGGCAGTGGTGGGTACCAGTTGGACCAGTTCTGGGTTCCTGGAATATGTTTGCAATGCGTGACAGTTCTGCCATTGGAGGGGACAGAGTCATTGGTGGTGGTGGGTATCAGGCAGCTTGTTTTATGGCTCTAAGGAATGTGTATGTCTGTTCCTCCAGTCCTGAGGGTGGCCTCCATGCTGTCCTGAACTGCCTGCTCCCTGGAGTGTAGGGCAATGCATAGACTCAGGTGCTGGGGTTAAGGCTGTACTGCTGGGTCTAGCTGGGGTGGTGGTGCAGTTTTCCATATGGGTATCAGGGGATGATGGCTGGTCTCCAAAAATGTAGACATGTAGTGGCTATAGGATCCCAGGTCAAGATGCACACCAACAGCAACCTCATTCCCCAAATGGCCACCATGCTGTAGCAGCTTTGGTCCTGGGAGTAAGGGGGCACTTGGTGTGTGTTCCTTCTTTAGAGCAATGAGGTTATGCAGACTCCAGGCAGCTCCCTATTATGGATTCAAGGCTTGTGAGACTTGTGAGGCATGCCAGCAGCTAAGATTGCAGATGTCCTCAGTTGAAATGGGGACTGCTGAGGAGCTCCTGCTTACCTTTTCCCCACAATGAGAAGTCCCTTTTGACTCTGAGCTGACCCCAGCTGAATGTTTCACTTCCCTGTCTATGCTGCCATCACATCCATGCCTCAGAGGGTTTTTGTCACTTTCTTGCTGTATTTCCGTGTTCTCCTTTAGTTGCTCTACTCACAGTACAGTTATTTGTTGTTTTCTTCTTCTTTGTGCAGGAGATGAGTGTTTGGCATCCCTAGTCAGCCATCTTGATCTGGTTTTCTTGTGAGTTAATTTTTGCACAATGTATGAGACTTTGGTTAAAGTTTTTGTTTTTGTTTTTTTCCTATGGATATTCAATTGCTCCAGTACCGTTTATTGCAAAGGCTATTCTTATGTCATTGAATAGCTTTTGCACTTTTGTCAAAAATCATTGGACATACTTATGTGGGGTTATTTCCTGACTCTCTATTCTGTTTCATTGATCTACGTGTCTGTTCCTCTACCAATACTACATGGTCTTGTGTACCCTTCACAAGATTATTGTAGCTATGTAAAAAATCTTAAAGCCAGCAATAGTGATTCCTTCCACTTTATTTTTACTTGTATAAAATTATTTTAGCTGTATGAGTTCCTTTGCCTTTCTATGTACATTTTAGAATAATTTTATCTATACATACAAAAAGTCTTGCTGGGATTTTGATAGAAATTGTGTTAAGTTTGCACATCAATTTGAATAGAGTTGATATCTTTGCTACAGTGAGTGTTCCAACCCATGAACACAGTATGTCTCTCCATTTATTTAGAGCCTTGAGTTCAGCATTTTTTAGTTTTCAGCATACATGTTCTATACATGTTTTGTTAGATTTATACCTCAGTATTTTTTTCTTTGGGGGAACACAGTCTTTCATCACTAAATATGATGTTAACTATGCTTTTTCAGTAGATATTCTTTATCAAATTGAAGAAGTTTCCCATCTATTTCTAGTTTTCTGAAAGCTTTTTGTCATTAATAGGTGTTATTTTTTAAAAGTGCTTTTTTTCTGCTTTAATTGATACGATTTCCATCCTTTTACTCTCAATTTACCTGTAGTTTTATATTTGAAACAAGTTTCTTGTAAACTCTATGTAGTTGGGTCAATTTTTAATCCACTCTTTCAATATCTGTCTCTTAATAGGCATATTTAGATGATTTATATTTAATATAATTATTGATATTTTAGTGCTTGAGTCTACTATTTTATTTTTGTTTTTTGTTTGTTCCCTCTTGAAATGACTAAATATATATGTCACCCCAAATTAATTTGTTTAAAACTAATACTCAATATGGTGGCATAATGAGGTGAAACATTTGGGAGATGATCAGGGCATAAAGGGCATGCTCTCATTAATGGGACAAGCACCCTTATAAACGAGGCCCTAGAGGGACCCCTTCCGCCTTACTCCATGTGAGGACACAATGAAAATGTACCTGTGTATGAGGAAGTGAGCTCTCATCAGACATTAAATCTGCCAATGCTTTGATCTTGGACTTCCCAGCCTCCAGATCTGTGAGAATTACTCAGTTTATGGTATTTTGTTATAGCAGACTGAACAGATTAAGACACTTCTGGTTTTTGTTACCCTGTTTCCTTTTCCTGCCTGCCTTTCTGTGGGTCACTTATATATACTTTAGAGTTCCATTTTGATTTATATACAGTGCATTTGAATGCACCACTGTGTAAAGATTTTTTTAGTGGTTAATCTAGGTATTATGTTATACATGCATACTTAATGTGTTCTAGTAGTAGCCACATTTCACCTGTTCAAGTGAAGTGTGAAAATCATACCTCCCTGTATATGCCTTTACTATCCCTCAGTGATAAGTGTGTTAAATAATTCCTCTAAATGCATTGAGAACTACATTAGGCAGTGTTATAATTTTGCTTCAACGATCAAATCTAAGTTTGAAAACTCAAGGGAAGATGGAAAGTCTATTATATTTACTCATATTTTATTCTTTCCATTGTTCGTTCTTTCTTGTGCTTCAGGTTACTTTATTTTATAATTTTTTTCTGTTAGAGAACTTATTTAGTCATTATTTTAGGGTAGAGTTGCTGATTACAAATTCTCCTACCTTTCCCTCATCACAGAACGTCTTCATTACATTTTCATTCCTGAAGGATTGAATTCTTACGTCACTAGATATAGAATTATGGTTTGACAGTTCTTTATTTTCGGTACGTGAAAAATGTTGCACCACTCCTTTTGGGCCTGTTTTGTTTCTTGTGAGAAATTCGTTGTTCTTCAAATTGTTTTTTCCCTGTGGGTGAAGTGTTCTTGCTCTTCCACTGCTTCAATATTTTTTCTTTGTCTTTTAGTTTTCAAAAGTTTGACTGTGATGTATCTTGATATGGATTTTTTTGGGTTTATCCAATTTGGAGTTTGCTCAGCTTTTTGGACTGGGAGGTTTATGTATTTTGAAAAATTTGGTAAAATTTTTCAGCCATTTTTTTTCAAATACCGTTTTAGCTCCATCTTTCTCATCTCCTTTCCATATTATGATGACACATGTATTAGATCTTTTGTTGTAATCCTACAGGTCTCATGGCTCCTTTCATTTTTTTATCAGTGGATTTTTTCAGTGTTGTTGGGATCGGGGTAATTTCCAATCAAGTTCACTGATTCTTTAATCCTTTCCCTCTATTCTGTTGTTGAGCCTATCTATCGAGTTTTTAAAATAAGTTATTGCATTTTTTTCAATTCTAAAATGTCCATTTGTTTTTTTCTTTATATCTTCTATTTATTTGCTGAGACTTTCTCTTTTTTCCTTTTGTCCCAAACATGTTTGTAATTGTTTGTTGAGGAATTTTTATTACACTCCTTTAAAAATCATTTTCAGATAATTCTAAGTAATAGCATCTATCAATTGTCTTTTATCATTCGATTTGAGATTTTCTTTTTTTCTTATTTATTTATTCATTTATTTATTTTTTATAGACAGGGTCTCACTCTGTCACCCAGGATGGAGTAGAGTGGTAAGACCATAGCTCACTGCAGCCTTGGCCTCCTGGGCTCAAGTGATCCTCCCACCTCAGCTTCCAGAGTATCTGGGACTACAGGCACATGCCACTGTGCCTAGTTAATTTTTTATTTTTTGTAGAGATGGTGTCTCACAATGTTGCCCAGGCTGGTCTCAAGCTCCTGTCCTCAAGCAATCCTCCTGCCTTGGTCTTCCAAAGTGCTGGGATTACAGACATGAGCCACTGCGCCTGGCTCCAGTCACTTTTAGATACTGGACTATTCTTCTTCCTCAGTTCTCTCTCACAATCTAGGCAGAACTCAGTGGTATTTAATCATTTGTCCATGACCAGCCAACTCTTCTGAAGCACTCAGTGTGTGGAGCCCTAACAGTGTTTGTAAGGGACTGAGATGGCTTCAACCCGGCCAGAGTGTGGGAGGTTCCTAGGTGCTTGGGGAGGGAGATGGGTGACCCAAAAGATTATAGGCAGTGGCTTGGGTGGTGAACGGGATCAGGAAGGCTTTTCAGGGAATGACTTGAAGGACAGGAAGGGCTATATGGGAGGAAACAAGAATGGGAAGCTGCCCTCATCTCCTGGAACCACAGGTACCATTCCTGTCTGTTTGGAGTTGGTCTGCCTGGGTAATAATGGTGTGTAGCCTCACCTGAGAGAACACTGCAAAGCCCAGCTTGGGAGAATGTGGCCCTCTGTGTGCCTGGAGCAGTGCTTTTTCTCACCTCTCATCCAGGGTGAGTCCAGTAGGTTGGTCACCTGATCCTGGAGCTGGCTCTTTCCCAGGAGGACTTATCTGTCTTTGTGTCTTTTCATTTATTTCTAGTTATTTCTCATGTCTTATCTGCAGGGAAGGCACCTCCCGTCATTTATTCTGACTCTCTGACTACATCCCAGCTTGCCACCACTTGCCTCCCCATTATCTGTTTGATCTCTTTCTGGGAAGGCATCTCATTGCCTGCCCAGGTTCATCTTTTCTCTTTGCACAGTTCTGACTGCCAAAAAGTGTTTGCTCATATTGACACAGGCAGTGAAATCTCAAGATTTGCCCCTATAAATGTGATGATGGTTCAGCTTCACTCAAGGATTGTGAGTTAATAGGAAGATATCAGACTTAGGCACTGGGGAAACTGGCATTCGCCAATCACTCAATGGATGGAAATTGTTAAGTCCCTTTTCCTCTCTGAGCCCCAATTTCCACACTGCTCACTTTGGGATAGATTATTTTACAGAATATTCCATCCCAGGGACTAAACGGCCTCATACATTTCTCTCTTGGACTTCCTTTTACAACACGGAGAAGTCTTTTATTTTTCTTGTCCTTTCTCCTGTGCCACTAGATCTGAGGCCACGGATGGGGCTGAGTCAAGAAGAGTGAGTTGTGAGCAAAGAAGAGTTACAAATCTTTAAAAAGTTGCCCTCTTTGTTTTTATCATAAAATATGTTAATAAGGGGCTATAAATATCCAATCTTGTCTGAAAGCAGCAGCCAGGTGAGTTAGCACCTGAAGTGGGTGAAAGTTACATTTCTTGTCTTTGTTCTGTGTTTGGGTAAAAGCCACAAAGGACCACGCATTGCATATATGAAGCAATTTAAATTCCACTCTGTATTGGGGTCTTTTCTAGTCTCTGAAGTGATTTAAAGCTTATAAATACAAGTCACAAAGTTAAGAAACTTCTTGTACATCTGGGGTCATGTCCCCATGATCCAATTATTCTGAAGTCTCTCCAGAAATAGTTTCTTCCCTCCTTCCCTCTCTTCCTACCAATTCTGCGGTGCTGTTGGAAAACATTAGAGAGGAAGGATCATCCTGACCTTGCCCAAATTAACATGAAACCCCGTCAATGAGAACTCTCACCAGAGTTCATGATAGACTGTGAAACCCACCACACAGGAAAAATCATTGTGTGGTCAATGTCCCTTTGACCATTTCCAAATTCAGGATCCCAGGGTTGGAAGAAAGCCAGCAACCTCGAAGATCTCTTGTCTGTATCCCACCAAATAGGTTCTATTAGGCAGCTGTTACCCAGGCCAGCCTTTTAAAGGGTCATAAATAAACCTGGTTGTGGCTCCTACCAGAGAGTTTCAGAGGCACAGCAGCTGTGGACTTCAAAAAGAGCAGTCAATCACAGAAGTGGCATCCTGTTGTGCACAGCTGAGTCTTTTCCTGTGTGTGTGTGCATGAGTATCCTATATCTGTGCATTTGTGAGAGCATTGCTGATTTACCGCTGGGATCTGGTAACCTCCACTTCTAAGATCCAAAGCTGAGAGCTGTGACTGCCCAGGTAGCAGCCAGAAGCATCTTCAATGTGGACCACTGTTTTCTGATACACTATAGTTTCTTAATCACATTCCAGTTTTCCCTTTCCCATTTAATTCTAATACTGGGGGTGGTGTGATGAGCTCTCATTCCACAGATGTTCTTGGTGTGCAAGAGGAGCCTGCCCAGCGTCAGCAAGAAATAAGACTCGGGCAATCCTGACCACCTCTTCCACAAATGAATACACCTGCCTTGTCCACCAGCTCTAAAAGTCCTAGAATCAAATACATGCCACATTCATAGTCATAAGCCGTTATGCCTTGCATTGGATTTTTTCTTTCTGTAAGATATATTATATATACAAAAGAGTATGAAAAGCATATGCAGGCCAGGCATGATGGCTCACGCCTGTAATCCCAGCACTTTGGGAGGCCAAGGCGGGCGGATCATGAGGTCAAGAGATAGAGACCATCCTGACCAACAGGATGGTTTGTATTTTGTAAAAATACAAAAATTAGCTGGGCGTGGTGGTGCACGCCTGTAATCCTAGCTACTCAGGAGGCTGAGGCAGGAGAATTGCTTGAACTTGGGAGGCAGAGGTTGCAGTGAGCCAAGATCGCACCACTGCATTCCAACCAGGTGAGAGAGCAAGACTCTGTCAAAAAAAAAAAAAAAAAAAAAAAAAAAAAAAAAAAGGATATACATACCATTCAAGGAAAAATAAGAAAATACACACCATGCACCCCTTACCCAGGTTAAAAATTAGTATGTCCCAGTACCTTAGAAACCCCTCTTATTTCCCTCCTCAATTACATTCCTCTCTCTTCCCTCTCTCCTAGAGGAGACCACTATTCTGACTTCTGTTAACATCTATTAGTTTTGCTTTTTAAAAACTTTATATGAATGGAATTATACAGTATACAATCCCTTGTGTGTATCTTTTTATACAGCATAACATGTGAGATACATTCACATTTTTGCATGTATCACGTTTTCATATGTACTGCAAGTTTTGCTGCAGAAATCAGTAGCTTTTTTTTAATTGTAGTGCAGCATCCCATTAAATAAGTATAATATAATTTAAGTATTCATTCTACTGTTGATAGACTTTTGTGTTATTTCCAGTTTCTGGCTATTATTAATAAAGCTGTTATAAACATTCTCGTATGTGTTTTTTGGTAGAAATTTACCCTTATGTCTCTTGCTTATATAGCAATAGAACTGGGATTTCTGAGATACATTTCTTTCATTTTAATAAGCATTTGTTGAGCTCTTACAGTGTGCCAAGCTCTGTGGCGGGCAATTGGGGCAATTGTGTAGATGTATACCAGACATGTAGCCTGTCTTTAAGGAGCTCATAGTTTAGAGGAGGAGATTGGTATGTCCATAATTCAAATAAGGCTGAGTAAGTTCAGTGCTACATTTGTGTTAGAAGCAACATGTTACAGGCAGGCAAAGGAAGGAGTCATTAACCCTCACTTAGAGTCAAGGAAGTCTTCTCAGAAAAAGTGATATTTAAGCTGATCTCCAAATAGTAGCATTTTCACTGGTAATAAATGGAGAAGGAGAGGGCATTCTAAACTCAAGAAAACAGCTCAAAGGCAAGGTGTTTGAAAATGTACAGTTGGTCATTGATGTAGATAATAAGGGCTGGGGTAGTATATCATTAGAGGACAGGATGTAAGAAGAATTTAGTGGTCTATGAAGATTTTGGAAGATCTTAAAAGTTCAACTAAAGACTCTAGGTTTCCCTCCAGAGGCCCTAAGGGTGACTACTTTGGATGACAGAAGTGACATCTTTTGTCTTTTTCAAGGATAATGAGCCCATCAGAAGCCAGTTTTGTCTGTGCCTAAGTAAGCACCATGGTGGCCATAGTGTTGGCACAGATACACCTCAGGCTTGCTGGAAAGTGTGCAGGGTGCAAATAAGAGTGCCCCACAGACTGTTGAGGAGGAAGGTGTGGTCTGTGCTACAATTTTACGGGGAGACATTGCTTGGCTCAATTTCCTTTAGCCCCACCCCCCACCCCTTGCTGCTTGGTGATTCTCCCATGGTTGAAGAGGATATTGATGTTGTATGAGAATCAGATAATTTAAGAGCTGAGAATAATCTGAGCTCATTGTACAATTGTGGAGACTGTGAGTCAGGCAGGAAGGGTCTTGCCCTGGAGAATGCAGCCTATATGAGGAAGAGCCAGGCTCAGCATCCAAACTTAACTTCTAATGTAATTATTCTGATATTGCCTCTCATAAAATCCTGGACATATTCACAATTTATTAATGTTAGAAATTGGGAGTAAATCTACTGAAGTAAAAAGGGCTGGGGCAGAGAAAGTGAGTTGGTGAATAATATATTGTAGTAATTACATTCCCCAAACTTACTCAAATGTTTTTTCTGCATCTCTATGTACAACTATGGAGTAATCATTAGGAACTATCATTGAGTGAAGAAGGTAGTGTGGAAAAAGTGTGTATTGTGTGCTATCTTTTAGGTGGGAGAATATGAATATATCCATATATTATATTTTTTAATGGAAAGATAAACCACTAAATTTGAGAAGTGGTTATCTGTAAGTGAGGAAGGTAACAGGATGAAGGGGACAAGGATAAAAGTTAGATTTCATTAAATATACCTTCCCTTGTAGATTTGACTTTGTTTTTTTAAAATTATTTTTCTTTTTATATATTTCTTTTCTTTTCTTTTTTTGGAAACAGAATTTTACTCTGTTGCCTAGGCTGGAGTGCAGTGGTACAATCTTGGCTCACTGCAACCTCCACTTCCTGGACTCAAGCAATCCTACCACCTCAGCCTCCCAAGTAGCTGGGACTACAGGCATGTGCCATCATTCTTGATGAATTTTTTTTTCTAAGTTTTAAATTTGTATACAGATAAAGTCTCACTGTATTTCCCAGGCTGATTTTGAACTTCTGGGCTCAAGTGATCCTCCCACCTCAGCCTCCCAAAGTGGTGGGATTACTGGCATGAGCCTCCTCACTTGGCTAGATTTGAGTTTAGAGCCATGCATTTTTATAATTAGAAGATGGAAAAAAGCAAAATTCAAAAGCAAATGAAGTATATAAACCAAATAACTATAAGAGAGGAATTATCCCGACTAACTTTAAAAATCAATAATTTGTACATATCTAGCAGGAATTACCCTAAGGAGAAAAGGAATATCAAACAAAACAAAGAATAAAAAACAAGAATAAGAAGAAAAGTTCTCTAGAATCTTAAGCTTTTTTTTTTTTAGTATTCCTATTGATGAAGGTAGTATTAGTATTGTTATTCCAAAATTATTTTGTGTGTATATTTGCGGAGTAAATCAAATGATCAATTATGTTAGTGTCACTGAGTATCAAGATTTTTGACATATTGAGAAGCTACAAATGTAAAATTATTGAGGTTACTTGGAAACTATAGACCTGAATATAAGGTGGAAGTATCAGTGTGAAATTGTCATAGTTTACCTTAAAAAAAAAAAAAAGAACAAAACTGTATTTTCTAACGCTTTCCATAAAAAGGGATTAGATATGATGACAAATTCAGTAGCAAGGAACACCTTTAGCACTCAGATTATGGTATCCAAACATCATTTTCCAATAAAAAGAACCAGAGCTCTTGGAGAAATAGCTGATTCCCAGGCTGGCACAGGAAATAGGAAAGTTGAACCTGAATCGTTTTCTCATCCCAGAAAGCAAGGAAGCCATCAAAGACTATTAGGGGCATGTGAAAAGGACTTAGGAATACTGAGTCATTAACTACAGCTAAAAGAAAACATCTGGCTGGTGTGGTGGCTAACACTTGTAATCCCAGCACTTTGAGAGGCCAAGGCGGGTGGATCATTTGAGACCAGGAGTTCGAGACCAGCCTGGCCAACATGGTGAAACCCCATCTCTACTAAAAATACAAAAATTAGCCAGGTGTGGTGGTGCACGCCTGTAATTCCAGCTACTCGGGAGCCTGAGGCAGGAGAATCACTTGAACCCAGGAGGTGGAGGTTGCAGTGAGCTGAGATTGCGGCACTGCATTCCAGCCTGGGTCACAGAGTGAGACTCTGTCTCAAAACAAAACAAAACAAAAAACAAAAAAAAAACTGTTAAGTTTCTCCATCTAACCTCTGGTATGCAGGAAAAGCAGACACATATCACAGGAAAGCAATCAGTAAAATGCAGACCATGGGAAATTCTCCAACACAGACAACTCAGTTTCTTACATAGACACACACAGTAAGTAAACAAAGGCGATAAAGGGAAAACTATAGATTAAAAGAGATTTATCCACTAATTATAATGGACCTTTTAAAGATCTTGATTAAGATAAACAAATTGAGAAAGAAATATATTTAAAAGACATTTGGGGGCCGGGTGCAGTGACTCATGCCTGTAATCCCAGCACTTTGGGAGGCCGAGATGGGTGGATCACCTGGTTGGGAGTTCGAGACCAACCTGACCAACATGTTGAAACCCTGTCTCTACTAAAAATACAAAAAATTAGCTAGGTGTGGTGGCGCATGCCTGTAACCCCAGCTACTCGGGAGGCCGAGGCAGGAGAATTGCTTGAACCTGGGAAGCAGAGGTTGCGGTGAGCCGAGATCGTGCCATTGCACTCCAGCCTGGGCAACAAGAGCGAAAACTCCGTCTCAAAAAAAAAAAAAAAAAAAAAGACAAAAAGACATTTGGGGCCAGGCGCAGAGGCTCTCGCCTGTAATCCCAGCACTTTGGGAGGCCATGGCGGGTGGATCACCTGAGGTCAGGAGTTCGAGACCAGCCTGGCCAACATGGTGAAACCCCATCTCTCCTAAAAATACAAAATTAGCCTGGTGTGGCGGTGCCTGCCTGTAGTCCCAGCTACTTGGGAGGCTGAGGCAGGAGAATCACTTGAACCCGGGAGGCAGAGGATGCAGTGAGCCGAGATTGCGCCACTGCACTCCAGCCTGGGCAAACAGAGCAAAATTCTATCTCAAAAAAAAAAAGACATTTGGATAAATGTGAATAGTGAGTGAAGAGTTGGTGATATTAACATATAATATTTTAAAAGGTGTGATACTGGTAATTTAATTATGCTGAAAAGATCATGCCTGTAGTCCCAGCACTGTGGGAGGCTGAGGTGGGCAGATCATTTGAGTCCAGGAGTTCGAGACCAGCCTGGGCACCACAGCGAAATCTGGTCTCTATAAAAAATTTTAAAATTTGCCGGGTGTGATAGTGCACACCTGTAGTCCCAGCTGCTTGGGAGGCGGAGGTGGGAGGATCACCTGAGCCCAAGGAGTTTGAGGCTGCAGTTAGCTGTGATCGTGCCACCGAGCTTCAGCCTGGGCGACAGAGTGAGACCTTGTCTTGAAAAAAAAGAAAAAAAAGAAAAAAAAAAGAGTGTCTGTCATTTATTATAGATACACACTAAATTATTTAAAAATGAAATGCTGCTGGGCACGGTGGCTCACGCCTGTAATCACAACACTTTGGGAGGCAGAGGTGGGCGGATCACGAGGTCAGGGGTTTGAGACCAGCCTGGCCAACATGGTGAAACCCGGCTGGGCGTGGTGGCGTGCGCCTGTAATCCCAGCTACTTGGGATGCTGAGACAGGAGAATCGTTTGAACCCAGGAGGTGGAGGTTGCCGTGAGCCAAGATCACGCCATTGCCCTCCAGCCTGGGCAACAGGGTGAGACTCCATCTCAAAAAAAAAAAAGAATGAAATGCTATGATGATCTGGGATTTGCTTCAACATAATTCAAAAGTGGGAGAAGTGAGGAGGTGCATGGCTGAACAAGATATACCACGAGGTGATTATTGAATCTGGATAAAAATACCTGAAGTTAATGGTTCTATTTTTTCTAATTTTCGTATAGGGGTTTGAACTTCTCCATTATGAAAGCATTAAAAATAAGACTTCTTCTAATGTTGTGCCATGTTGCTATTCCTAAGAATATGCCAGTGGATAATGTGTGTTATTTGTTTAATACACATTGGCTTTCATCAGCTAATAGACAATAAAAATAGTTTCATTTATATCCATTTTTTTTTTGCATTGTCTTTGTTAAACTTTGGTGTCAGAATACTCATTCCATACTCAGCAAATACCTATTGAGTATTTAGTGTGTACCAAGCACTGTAATTGCTATGAAGAGTAGAAAAATAAATAAGACAGATGCAATTACCGTCCTCAAGGAGCTAACTGTCATGCATAAAACGATTTGGCAAGGTCTCCCTATTTTTTTATCCTATGAAAACCACAGATAACACAGAAATTATCCATTCTTTTAAAGTTTGGCATCATGTTTTTGACCATTTTTTCAACTTTCCATGGGTAATGGAATCAGCACATTCAGCATCAAGAATTAATTAGACTTAATGGGTCTTTGCCGTTCATTGTTTTTCACTGTATTGTATACACTATGTCTTGCAATCATTTATTTTTAACTCTTTGTTGAGAGAATTTCTTAAATCAAATTTCTCGTTCAAAAAGAAATTAGGGAGATGTGTACTTTCTTTGTTTTCACATAATGGCAAATATCTTTTTAACCTTCATGCCTGTGCAATGGTCATCTGTGTGTGGAACTTCTGACCCTTAACCCGTTTCCCTCAGAGCTCTGTGAACATTGTTCTACTGACTTCTACATATAGGACTGCAGAGCAGAAGGCCAGTGGCATTCAGATCCTTATTCCTTGTTAGGTAATCTGTTTTATTCTGTGGAAAAGTCTAGAAATATCCTGCTACATATGGAAATCAAAACATATCCTTGGATCTAGATAAGGTATCTATTTTGCCACAGCTCTTACCTGGTGGCGAAACATTTATGAACAAAAGACCTAAAACCTCTTTTTTTTTCTTTAATTTTTCCATAGGTTATTGGGGTACAGGTGGTGTTTGGTTACATGAGTAAGTTCTTTAGTGGTGATTTGTGAGATTTTGGTGCATCCATCACCAGAGCAGTAGACACTGCATGCTATTTGTGGTCTTTTATCCCTCACCCGCCTCCCACACATCCGCCCACGTCCCCAAAGTTCATTGTATAATTCTTATACCTTTGTATCCTCATAGCTTAGCTCCCACAGATCAGTGAGAACATACGATGTTTGGTTTTCCATTCCTGAGTTACTTCACTTAGAATAATAGTCTCCAATCTCATCCAGGCAGCTGTGAATGTTGTTAATTCATTCCTTTTTATGACTGAGTAGTATTCCATTGTATATATATCAGTTTCTGTATCCACTCGTTGATTGATGGGCATTTGGGTTGGTTCCACAATTTTGCAGTTGCGAATTGTGCTGCTATAATCATGTGTGTGCAAGTATCTTTGACCTAAAACTTCTGTTTGGGGAAATGTTTCTTTTTTGGTTTTAAACATTATTTGTTTTCATCTGCTCTATTTTCTCCTTATGAATTTCATAATGGGTTCCCCTGGTCTGTCTTCCATGCCTCTCATCTTTTCTCAAACAATTTAAACCTCCTTGTCTTTTTCTTTCCCCCTTAAGTCTAGGAGAGCAACCTATGTAACAAACTTGCACATCCTGCACACGTACCCCTGAACTTAAAATAAAAGTTTAAAAAAAGTTATTTTTAATTTAAAAATTCCTTTTAATGTTTGTCTTAAATGCTGTCTATTGAATTGTATTTGTTCAATAATTGTTAACTTTTTTCCAAGAAAATGTTCTTATCTCTCAGATATCTTTTCTCCTAGCCTCTTTTTATAGGCAACTCTTGTTTTATTGATTCAAAAGTCTCTTTAATTCCATTGACAAAACTACTGAGAATTTTCTTTAACATTTTCACCATCTTCCCACGTTAACTGATTTTCAGCAAAGGCTGTTTATTTTTTAAGTTTTTGAGATGGAGTCTCACTCTGCCGCCCAGGCTGGAGTGCAGTGGCACGATCTCAGCTCACTGCAGTCTCCACCTCCTGGGTTCCAGCGATTCTCCTGACTCAGCCTCACGGGTAGCTGAGAGCACAGGCACGCACCACCACGCCCGGCTAATTTTTGTATTTTTAGTAGAGATGGGGGTTTCACCATGTTGGCCAGGCTGGTCTCGAACTCCTGACCTCAGTGGATCCACCCGCCTTGGCCTCCCAAAGTGCTAGGATCTTATTTTAATTGTTAGTTTGTTTCTATGGGGTTAAAAGTTTATGTCAGAAATTTTCTATTCTGCTGATCCTTTTAACTGGACTTCTAGACTGATCACTATTTGGAGCCGACTTGGAATTCCTCACAATCATGTGGGTGATTCTTAGATGTCCCCTGATGGGCATTATTTCTGTCTTCCTCTGACTATTACGTGGCCTCAGGGATTCTTTAGTGGAAAACAAGTGATGGCTGCCACTTGGCTGCATGCTTGGTTAAACCAGGTCAGGTGATTAATACAATTTATTTGATCCTCCTGGACTTATCTCAGTTTTCGCATTACTCTGATGGCTCATGAGAGGCCACTGGTATCTAGGACAGAGCCCAGGAATGAACAATATCTTCCAAAAGAAAAAGAAAAGAGGATTGTGCCCTTGACCCTTGCATCAGTTTTGTCACACCTTCCTTACTCCCCTCTCTTCTCCAAGAGCATTAATGATTTTCTGGTGAGGACTCTGAGTAAGGACAAGAGAGAGACAAAGCTACAGGTTAATTTATGAAGATACAGAGACAGAAAAATTCAGCAAACAGTTTTAAGAATTTATATGACAACCAGAAAAAAAACAATGAGGAGAAAAATAAAACTAACTATTATGTAATATGGAGTAGGAAGATCTTGAAAGGTAACATAAAAGTAAGGACCCACAAGAGTTTCTATATTCTTTTAAAAGTGCTCGCTTACCTTTTCAACAAATGTGTTGATTCAAATTACTTCTCTGGGATCTGGGAGTAGTCCAGAAGCCAAAAATAGCCAATCTGGTCAGAAAGCAGCAGCCAAATATGTTCAAAGAAAGAAGCCGTGGAGCAATTGAATCAAAGACCTACAGACTAGAGCTTTTCATTCATCCAACAATAAAAATGTGAAGAGTTACTTTTCCTTGACATCAATTCATTCAGTATCCATCATGGAGAATGAGAACTACGAGGCTAGACAAACAAGAACATACTTTGGTGGAGTTGCATTAAATGTGTCCTGTTCCTACAGAGCCCTTCTATGTAATGAGATTCTGTGTAATGAGATTTACCCATGTAACCTTTGATCAACTTGGTCTTTCATCTTGTCCTCTGGGACTCTCAGGTGGGAGCAGTCAGGAAGCACAGAGCCATCAGGACCCCTCCACCATCACTGCAGGAAGCGTTTCTGAAATACCAGGTTCCTCACAGCAGCCTTCACTTCCTTGTTCCTCAGGCTGTAGATGATGGGGTTGAGCATGGGGGTCACCACCCCATAGAAAAGGGAAATGAGTTTGTCTGCAAGGTCCTGTTTGTCTGCTCCCAGTGGGTCCTTAGACTTGGGCTTCCCGTACATGAAGAGGATGGTCCCGTAGAAGACGATCACGACAGTGAGGTGGGCAGAGCAGGTGGAGAAGGCCTTTTTCCTCCCCTCAGCTGAGGGGATCCTCAGGATGGTGGCAATGATGAAGACATAGGAGAAAGAGATGAACAGAACAGGGACCCCCAGGAAGATCACATTGGCCACTCCCATACTGATCACATTGACAGAGATATCAGCACAGGCCAACTTCAGGACAGCCAGAATCTCACAGGTGAAGTGATTGATGATGTTGTCTCCACAGAAGGGCAGCCTCAATGCAAGGGGTGTCTGCACCATGGCAGTGAGGCTTCCAGCTACCCAGGAGCCAGCAGCCATGGGCACATAAGTAGCTTTGTTCATGACTTCAGGGTACCAAAGGGGGTTGCAGATGGCCACGTAGCGATCAAACGCCATCATGCTCAGGAGAACACACTCTGTGGCTCCCATGGCAAGGGAGAGGAACATCTGTACTGCACAGGCTGAGAAGGAGATGGTTTTCCTGGGGGTCAGGAAGCTGTCAAGGATGAGGAGGTTGTATAGCAGATGTCCAGGAAGGAGAGGTTCCCCAGGAAGAAGTACATGGGTGTGTCCAGGCGGGAGTCAAGGATGGTCACCAGGATGAGGACCCCATTGCCCAGTAGGATCACCAGGTACATCAGCAGGATGAGCACGAAGAATGTCTTCTCCAGCTTTGGATGGGCAGAGAGCCCCAGGAGAAGGAACCCCAGCACAGGGGAGGTCTGATTGGAACTGACCATGGTGTTTCTATGTCACTTGTACAAACTCAGAGGGCCAGCTCCATGATTCTCTGATGCCTAAAGTGCCCAGACAGCCAGTGAGGAAGCCCAGACTTGCTGAGCAATTGGAGAACAGCTCTGACAATTCAAAGGTTTCTCGATATTGCTTTAAGTAAAATGCAGGAAATTTGATCAAAATCTACTTGGTGGTATTTGGCCACCCCATAGAGAGGTTTCAAATGTCACCTGATTAGATTTAATTTTCCTCATCACATTTAAGACAGGCATCACACATTTACTTCAAGTTACATGTGTGGATGATTCATTTGGTTCAATTTTGGCAAGAAATGTTATATTCCATTTGTATGTTTTTTCCCCTTGGGACCTAGGACTGGTAGAAAAAACTGGTACTCCTCATCCTCAATCCCTGACCATTCTGCTCTGTGAGCACTTTTAAAAATTATTATTATTATTATTTGAGACAGAGTCTTACTCCATTACCTAGGCTGGAGTGCAGTAGGGCAAATACAGCTCGTTGCAGACTCAAACTCCAGGCTCAAGCAATCCTCCTGCCTCAGTCTCCCAGGTAGCTGGGACCACATGCGTATGCCACTACACCTGGCTAATTTTTAATTTTTTCTGGAGACGAGGTCTCACTTTGTTGCCCAGGCTGGGCTTAAATTCCTGGGCTCAAGCAATCCTACCACCCTGGCCTCCCAAAATGCTGGGATTACAGGCGTGAGCCATGGCACCCGGCCTGTGAGCAATTTCAGATGCTCTCTGCCTCCTCTTTACTAGCACTTCCAAGATCTACAGAACCCTGGGCTATTTGTCCACCCATTCATTCACTCACTCACTTGCCAGACTCTTCTGGAGCACATATTTACAGGACTGGCATTTGCCAACCAATCAATGCATGGGCATCGTGAAGTCCTTTTTCTTCTCTGAACTTCATTTCCTGGATGCTTACTTTGGAATAGATTATTATCAGAGATATTCCATCCCAGGGACTAAATGATCTCATGAATTTCTCATTCTTGGACTGTTGCACCATGGAGACATCCTTTTCTATTTCCTTCAAAATTCCCCCATGCCACTTAGTCACCAGGTATGCTACCGGGGATGGAGCTGGGCCCACAAGAGTTTCTATATTCTTTTAAAAGTGCTCGCTTACCTTTTCAACAAATGTGTTGATTCAAATTACTTCTCTGGGATCTGGGAGTAGTCCAGAAGCCAAAAATAGCCAATCTGGTCAGAAAGCAGCAGCCAGATGAGTTAGTGCCTGAAATGGGTGGACGTTTTCTTGTCTTTGTTCTGTGTTTTGGTAAAATCCACAAAAGACTAATCATTGCTCATACAAAGCCACTTAAATCCCATCCTGCTATTTGGAGTATTCTAGTCCCCAAAGTCATTTAAAGTTTGGAAATTCAAGTTACCAAGTCAAGAAACTTCTTATACATCTGGGATTGTGTCCCCATGATCCAATTACTCTGAAGTCTCTCCAGAAATACTTTCTTCTCTCCTTCCCTCTCTTCCTACCCATTTTGCTGGGCTATTGGAAAGTATTAGAGCGGAAGGATCATCCTGGCCCTCCCCAAATTAACAAGAACCCCCAGTCCATGAGAACTGTCACCAGAGTCCATGATAGATCTGGGGGAATAGGAAACCACACAGGACGAATCCTTGTGGGTTAGTCCCCTTGGCCATTTACAAATTCAAAGGGTTCAGGATCTCAGGTTTGTATGAAAGCCAGTGACCCAGAAGATCTCTTGTCTGCATCCCACCAAATAGGTTCTGCTAGGCATACCCTACCCAGACCAGACCTTTAAAGGGTCATAAGTGAATCTGGTCATGGCTTCTACCAGAGAGTTTCAGAGGCAAGGCAGCTGTGGACTTAAAAAAGAACAGTTGATCACGGAAGTGGTGTCCTGTTGCGAACAGCTCAGTCTTTTCCTGTGTGTGTGTGCATGAGTATACTATATCTGTGCATTTGTGAGAGCATCGCTGATTTACCACTGGGATCTGGTAACCTCCACTTCTAAGATCCAAAGCTGAGAGCTGTGACTGCCCAAGCAGCAGCCAGAAGCATCTTCAATGTGGACCACTGTTTTCTGATACACTATAGTTTCTTAATCACATTCCAGTTTTCCCTTTCCCATTTAATTTGAATACCGGAGATGGTAGGTGGCACATATGATGAGCTCTCATTCCACAGATGTTCTTGGTGTGCAAGAAGAGCCTGCCCAGTGTTAGCAAAAACACTTGGGCAATCCTAACCACCTCTTTCACAAAGGAACATGCCTGCCTTATACATACACTAGCTCTAAAAATCCTAGAATCAAATACATGCCACATTCGTAGTCATAAGCCATTTTGTCTTGCATTGAATTTTTTTCTTTTTGTGAGATATATTACACACACAAAAGAATGTAAAAAGCATATGTATACCATTTAAGGAAAAATAAGAAAGTATACTACCATGTCCCCCCCCCCAACCCAGGTTAAAATTAGGATGTTCCAGAACCTTAGAAGCCCCTCTTATTTCCCTATCCAATTAAATTTCCTTATTCCCTCCCTTCCAGAAGTGACCACTATTTTGACTTCTATGGAAATCATTTTGTGGTAGGCAGAATCTTCATGATCCCCATATGATCACATAATTCCCTTCGTGTGGTGATCAAACATTAACCTAGGTACTGCTGTGAAGGGATTTTGTCAATGTAACTAAAGCTCCAAATCAGTTGTCTTTAAGATTAGAAGATTATCCAGCGAGGTCTGACCTAACTAATCAAGTGAGCCCTTTAAAAACAGTTTTCTCTGGTTAGTAGCAGAAGGAGAAGCCAGATTCAAAGTGTGGGAAGAATTCCACATGCTGTTTCTTGATTATAAGATGGAGGGAGCCGCAAACAAGAACCAGAGAGCTGCCACAAGGAGCTAAGCATGAGCCCTGGTGACAGCCAGCAAGGAAACTGGGACCATAGTCTAAAAAACACAAGGAATTGAATTCTGCCACCAATACCAATGAACTTGACTTTTTCTCAGAGCCCAGCCTAACTCACCCAACCTTCTCACTTCCAGAACTGTGAGCTAATAATTAGGTGTTTTAAGCTGCTGATATTGGGGTGGTTTATTATGCAACAAGAGAAAGCTAATATATATTCCCTTTATTTCCTTCACAGTTTTACCTTCTACAATGTATTGGTGTACAATGAATTGTTCCATTTTGAAAAATGGAGTGACAATTACAAACCTAGCTTTTTAAAACAATACATTTAAGGGGTACAAGTGAAGTTTTGTTACACAGATATACTGAGTTGTGGTGAAGTCTGGGTTTTTAGTGCAACCATCACCCAAAATAATGTACATTATGCCAATTAAGTAACTTCTCCTCCCTCAGCCCCCCTCACCATCCCACACTTCCTAGTATCCAATGTCAATTATTCCACACTTTATGTCCATGTGGACACACTGGTATTTGACTTTCTGTTTCCGGGCTGCATAACTTAAGAGACTGGACATCCAACATGGCCAGTTCCATCCATGTTGCTGCAAAATACATGGTTGCCTTCGTTTCTATGTCCAAAGAGTACTCCATTGTGTACGTAGATGACATTTTCTTTATCCAATCATCTATCTATAGATGCTTAGATTTATTCCATCTTTGCTGTTGTGAATAATGCTGCAATAAATGTACCAGTGTGGGTATCTTTTTTTACGTAATTAATTCTTTTCCTTTATGTAGATACCCAGTAGTGGTATCTACATAAAGGAAAAGAATTAATTATGTAATGGTGAAACCCCATCTCTACTAAAAACACAAAAATTAGCCAAGCGTGGTGGCGCATGCCTGTAATCCCAGCTACTCGGGAGGCTAAGACAGGAGAATCACTTGAACCCAGGAGGTGGAGGTTGCAGTGAGTAGAGATTGCGCCATTGCACTCCAGCCTGGGCAATACAAGCAAAATTCTGTCTCAGAAAAAAAAAAAAGAATTAATTCTGTAAAAAAGTAGATTGAGTGGTAGTTCTATTTTTAGTTCTTTGAGAAATCTCAATCCTGTTTTCCATTGAGGTTGCACTGACTTGCCTTCCCACCAACAATGTACAAATGTTTCCCTTTTTTCTCACCCTCACTAACATCTGTTATTTTTTGACTTTTTAATAATAGTCATTCTGACTGGCAAATCTAGCTTTTTGATGAAAAAAAAATATTGTCACTGTTTTGGGGAAGACTCTCCTGAGAATCTAAGCTCTCAGTTTCAATAGTCCCTTCCGGGTAAGTCAGACAGTGCTGCAGTGTGGCCAGGTACCAGACATCTGGCAGAAATATCATCAGAGAGAGTGGATTGTTTTATGTTTTCTGCTTCTAAGCTCTGAGTATGGCCCTCTTCCCACTCTTGGGAATAGATCAAAGCAGAATACTCTCTGGAGTGGAATGAGTGTCCTCTACTAACCCAGTCAGCAAGACATGGAGAGAGAAGAGGGCATTTTATACATGCATGGCCAAGATAAGGCCAGTGCAGGAAAGAATGTGGGCCAGGCTGTCTGGGGCATTCTGTCCTCAAGTTAATCACCATAGGCAGCAGGGGTCTATGAATAAGAGCCCTTGACATGCCTGTCTCTGGAGTCATAGGGCTGCCCTCTGGGCTGGCTGTCTTCTCTGCAGGGTGTACAACTGTCATGCCAGGATCTCCTTTTACTGTCCTGGGGACTCCTTACACCTCTCTTATGGGTTGGAACTTCTGTTTCTTTTGTCAGTTTCTTTCTATTTCTTGGTTTATTCTCTTATTTTGATAGAGCACTTTCTTGAATAACTTCTTTTTTTTTTTTGAGATGGAATCTCATTCCGTCACCCAGGCTGGAGTGCAATGGCGCAATCTTGGCTCACTGCAACCTCCGCCTCCATGGTTCAAGTGATTCTCCTGCCTCAGCCTTCTGAGCAGCTGGGATTACAGGCGCATGCCACCACACCCAGCTAACTTTTGTATTTTTAGTAGAGGTGGGGTTTTGCCATGGGCACCAGGCTGGTCCTGAACTCCTGACCTCAGATGATCCACCCACCTCAGCTTCCCAAAGTGCTGGGATTACAGGCATAAGCCATTCACTCAGCCTTGAATAACTTCTTGAGAAAAAGTGTATTATATACACATTTTTGAGATCTTATGTGTCTGAACATATTTTTATTTAACCTCCTGAGTGATAATTTGGTGGGTGTATTAGCCAGGGTTCTTGAGAGAAACAGTACTAATAGTGTGTGTGTGTGTGTGTGTGTGTGTGTGTGTGTGTGTACGTGTTATAAGGAACTGGCTTATCTGATTATGGAGGCTGACAAGTCCCAAGATTTGCAGTCAGCAGGCTGGTGGCCCAGGAGAGCTGATGAAAAAACTAATGTCCCAGCTCAAAGGCAGGAGAAGTTCCCTCTTACTCATCCTTTTTGTTCTATTCAAGACTTTCACTGATTGAATGAGGCTTAGTACATTAGGGAGGATAATCTGCTTTACTCCATCTATGCATTCAAATATTAATCTCATCCAGGTTCTCCCTCACAGACATATCCAGAATAATATTTGACCCAATATCTGGGCACCCCATGACCCAGTCAAGTTGACACATAAAGTTAATCAACACAGTAGTGTGTGGAATTCTAGGAACTTATTGGAAATCATCTTCCCTCTGAATTTGAAGGTAATTCTGGTGCAATCAGAAGCCATTTTGATTCCTGATCTTTTATGCTAATTGTTTTTTTACTCCATGAAAGAGTAAAGTACCCATACTCTCAACTGTGGCTGTTGTCTGCCAGTCCAGAGAGCCATGATTTTACCCTCCAGAGAATAAAAGTTTTGTTGGGGTAGGCAAGAGATAGTTGACTAATGTCATGGAATGAATGAAGGGGTGTAGGGACTCTGTTTCTTATACATTTGTCACCTAGTCTTCCTTTTTTAGTAGTACTTCCTTCACCCCGGTCCTAGAGGTACTTGGTACAGTGAGTTTCTCTGTGCTACAAATCTAGTTGTTATCAATTACTGTGGTTTGAATATCCCCTCAAAAACTCATGGTGAAATTTAACTGCCATGGTAACAGTGCTGAGAGATGGGACCTTTAAGAGGTGATTAAGCCAAGAGGGCTCAGCCTTCATGAAGGGGTTAATGCCATTATTGCAGGAGTGAGTTATTGCAGGAGTTTGGCCTCCTTTCTCTCCTTGTTTCATGTACTTGCTTGCTCTTTCACCTTCTGCCATGGATGATGCAACACGAAGGCCTTCACTAGATGCCAGTGTCATGCTCTTGGACTTCACAGCCTCCAGAACTGTGAGCCAAATAAATGTCTATTATTTATAAATTACCCAGTCTCAAATATTCTGTTAAAGCAGCAGAAAATGGAGTAAGACACTTACTTTTCCAAGTTTCTGGCTTGGGATTTGGCTCTGTCAGATCTGCTATGGCAATTAGCACTAGTTCATCTGCTTCCTAACTTTCACAATGTTCTTGCTGTTGATATCTTACTTCTTCTGCTTAACCTTGTAGATTTTATTGGAAAGAAAGAAAGACTATAGTTTTCATGGGTTTTAGGAGGAATGAAATTAGATGCATGTGTTCAGTTATCCTTTATGCAGTCTTGATTCCATAAAATTTCTAACATCCTATTTATTTTTGTAATTGTTTATTGCTTATTTCTCTCCTGTTAGAATACAAGTTTCACAGAGGTAAGTTTTTTTCTGTATTGTTCACAGATGTTTCCTTAGTATAAAAATAGGGCTTCACTCACAACTGACTCTCAATACATAGATGCTGAATAAATGAATGAATGAATCTGTGGCCTACCCTCATTTTCTTCTGATTTTGTCCCATGTTTGCTCTTTTTTTAAAAAAAATTTTATCTTTGTCCTATCTTTTTGAACTTCTATTTTTGTAAACATTGTAAATGTCCATAACATATTGGTACAGTAGAATACCTATAAATATATAGGTATTATAATATATACCTATTATATATATTATATATATATATTTATATAATATATATTATATATATAATATATTATTATAATATAAGTATATAGGTATTATAATATATACCTATAAGTATATAATATATACCTATAAGTATATAGGTATATATTATAAATCAATAAACAAATACAGTTTAAATTGTAAGGAAGCATGATATTAAAATGTTGGCAACCATGGACCCCAGATATGTAGTTTTTGACTGTGACTCCATCCTTCCAAATATTTAACAAACCTCTTTTTTCTAAGTGGCTCTTACATATTGGAAACATCTATTTTGAACAGAGCAGGCATGCAGAATTCAGGAATTTGGACGCCATTTAGAGGTGATCTGCCAGCTTCCTTCTTGTCTGCATCATGTCCCCTTCTTTGCCAAAGTGCCCTGGTGAGCAGGGGCTTGTGACTGCCCTCATCAAGATTTAGGAAAATCATTCCCAAGCTGCAAGATGCCCTGAGGTTCCAGTCTGGAATCTTTCTTTCCAGGCTTGAATTTATCTTGCAACTCTTTCCTAGCCCACTGCCACCCAATGCCTCACTCCCAGACTCAGATCTCCTGCAGGAAGCTCAGGAACAAGCGAGAGAAAAGGGCCTACAGCCCACATCATCACCTCAACTGTTATGGTCAGCCCCAGTACTCCCAGACACACACCACTGGATGACTTGATTGAATTCTGCTCTTTACAGAAGGTGTGCTCAATGTTAACTCCTGACATCATTATGTGTGTATAACTTCAAGCCATCTCCAAACATTTCTGGAATGAGGAGACAGTACATAGAAGAAGGAGATACAGGTATAAAATCAATGAGATTAGGTAAAAAATCCATAGCTCTTAATTTGAATTGTCTGTCTGTATGTATGATTTATATATTTGATCTAAATCTAAATATATATTTATATATCATACATACATATAATTCAATTATATATATTTTTTCATAGCTCTTTCCACTGAAACATTTAGAAACCATGGGAAACTCAATAGTAAACCTAGCACCCAGATTATGACTTCTAAATACCATTCCCCATTAAACGAAAAAAGAGCTCGTTAGACAAAATAGTTGTTTCAGGTCTGGGAAGGAAGAGTGAATATTGAGCTTGTAATATCTTGACATATCAGATAGCAGGAAGTCATCAAAGATACTAGCGTCATGCAAAAGGTCTCAGGAGCCATGAGCTCATAACTCCAGTAAAAAAAAAAAAATTAAGTAACTAGATCTAGGCATCAATGTATGGGAAACACAAAGACAGACACCACAGAATTGCAATCAGCAAAATCAGACTGTGGTAAACTTTATAGTTTTCCATATTGAGAAACTATTCCTTCCAAAAAAAAAATCTAGCCTAAAAGCAGGGTGGTGGCGGCAGGAACAGAGGTAGAGGGAAAGATAGAAAAAGGGAGGGGGAAATGTAGATTGAAAGAGACTGTACTGGTCCATTCTCACACTGCTAATAAAGACATACCTGAGACTGGGTGATTTATAAAGGAAAGAGGTTTAATTGACTCACAGTTCAGCATGGCTGGGGAGGCTTCAGGAAACTTACAATCATGGCAGAAGGGGAAGCAAACATACTCTTCTTCACATGGCAGCAACAAGGAGAAGTGCCAAGAAAAAGGGGGAAAAGGCCCTTAAAAAACCATCAGATCTCATGAGAACTCATTCACTATCATCAGAACAGCATGAGGGTAACCACCTCCATGATTAAATTACCTCCCACCAGGTCCCTCCCATGACATCCCACAACACGTGGAGATTATGGGAACTACAGTTCAAGGTGAGATTTGGGTGGGGACACAGCCAAACCATATCAGAGACAAATCACAATGTATGCCGTTATTTGGATCCTGGTTCAATTTAAAAATTGAAATAAATAATGTATAAGACATTTCTGGAAATATAAATGCTGGATAATTGATTATATCAAGGAATTAGTTTTAGGTGATTTATATGTTAAATGTTAAATGGTACTTTATATTTTTCCAAGAGTACTAATCTTTTTTGGATATAAATACTAAAATATTTCAAGATGGAATGTTATTACCATCTGGGATTTGCTTTAGAATAATTAAGGAGAAGGAGAAATAATCCACAGGGCTATGGAAGAACAAGATTGGCCATAAGCAGCACAGAAAGACAAACTTTGCATGTTCTCACTTATTTGTGGAAGCTAAAAGTTAAAACAATTGAACCCATGGAGATGGAGAGTAGAATGATGGTTATCAGAGGCTGGGAACAGTGATGAGAGGGTAGAGGGGAAATGGAGATGGCTTATGGGTACAAAAAATAGAATAAATAAGAACTAGTATTTGATAGCACAGCAGGATGATTATAGTCAAAAATAATTTAATTGTACATTTTAAAATAATTAAAAGAGTATAATTGGATTGTTTGTAACACAAAGGATAAATGCTTGAGGTGATGGATACCCCATTTACCCTGATGTGATTATTACACGTTGCATGCCTGTATTTAAATATCCCATATACTCCATAAATATATATAGCTACTATGTACCCAGGAAAATTTAAAAAATTAAAAATTACACACACACACACACACACACACACACACACACACACACCAGCCATGAGCAGATCATCTTTGGATCTGGAAGATGAATACCTATTATTCTTTCTACAAGATTAAATTTTCCCATAAAATAAAAGAAAAAACCTTCTCCAATACCTAGCCTAAATATTGCAGGCTTTATTTCTGTTTCATGTAGGTCTGGTCTTCTTTCTGCATTTGCTTTATCCTTTCTCTCTGCAGACCAGCTTTCTCTTCCTTGCTAGACACAGGGCCACATTTGTGCCCCCTTTACGTGGTCTATGAGTTCAAGAGCTTTGTGCCAACTATGAGGTGTCTCTACGTCCAAATTCCAAATTCCTTGGACAGAAAATATGGTTTGCCCAGTTTGGGTCAACTCGCCAATTATCTATAGCCAAAGGAGAGAGCATGACTGTCCTTTCAGCAGGGGCTAAGGGAAGACACATTCTGCTTCAGGCAGAACATTTCAGCTAATGTGCCACAGGGTACAGATGTACCAAGCTCAGAGTCCTCCTGGGATTACTAAGCAGAACCTGTAGTGACCTAAGCCCCCAGGTGAATTGCCTTCAGCCATGAAAAGACTCATCCACTCACCCCAGGGTGCCTACACATCCCATGGTTTTCTACGTGCTCCATGGCAAGACACAGGTTGGGAAGCACTGTGCTAGGGAGGTGGGCAGGGTCATGAAGTTCTGTCCCATGGTGTCTTCAGTGCCTCCTTTCAAGAGTAGAATCTTGGCTTTACATTTTTGTAACAGAAAGGTACCCGAGGGTGTTTTTCCCGAAACAGAGGAACCATCTGCTCACAAAGGTGAATTCAGACTTGAACAGTGGAGAAACAGAAAAGTCATTCCTTGTGTATCCAGCAGCATTCTGCTTCCATCCCCTCAAGACACACTCCCCCTGGGTTCTAGGTTTCAACATTTTAATTGGGTCCAATCACAGCTAAAGTGCTCTATTACATGAGTATTTCAATTTTCTGGTAGTCATTCTTCACATGTATCTTCTTTAGGGAGCATGCTCTTCTGAGATTTGTGGGTGAAAGCAACCAAGAGGCAAAGAGCTATGAGGACATCTGTTCCCCCAAACATCACTAGGCAAAGCATTTCTGAAATATCAAGTCCCTCACAGCAGCCTTTACATCCTTGTTCCTCAGGCTGTAGATGATGGGGTTGAGCATGGGGGTCACCACCCCATAGAAAAGGGAAATGAGTTTGTCTGCAAGGTCTTGCTTGTCTGCCCCCAGCGGGTCCTTAGACTTGGGCTTCCCATACATGAAGAGGATGGTCCCATAGAAGATGACCACGACTGTGAGGTGGGCAGAGCAGGTGGAGAAGGCCTTTTTCCTCCCCTCAGCTGAGGGGATCCTCAGGATGGTGGCAATGATGAAGACATAGGAGAAAGAGATGAACAGAACCGGGACCCCCAGGAAGATCACATTGGTCACTCCCATACTGATCACATTGACAGAGATATCAGCACAGGCCAACTTCAGGACAGCCAGAATCTCACAGGTGAAGTGGTTGATGATGTTGTCTCCACAGAAGGGCAGCCTCATTGCAAGGGATGTCTGCACCATGGAAGCAGTGCTTCCAGCTACCCAGGAGCCGGCAGCCTTATGGGCATGTAGGCAGCCTTGCTCATGACCACAGGGTACCTAAGGGGGTTGCAGATGGCCACGTAGCGATCAAACGCCATCATGCTCAGGAGAACACACTCTGTGGCTCCCATGGCAAAGGAGAGGAACATCTGCACTGCACAGGCTGAGAAGGAGATGGTTTTCCTGGGGGTCAAGAAGCTGTCAAGGATGAGGGGGACTGAGGATGTTGTATAGCAGATGTCCAGGAAGGAGAGGTTCCCCAGGAAGAAGTACATGGGCATGTGCAGGTGGGAGTTGGACACAGTCATCAGGATGAGGACCCCATTGCCCAGTAGGATCACCAGGTACATCAGCAGGATGAGCACAAAGAACGTTTTCTCCAGCTTTGGGTGGGCAGAGAGGCCCAGGAGAATAAACTCGGTCACAGAGGCTGTCTGATTGGCACTTACCATAGTGTATCTCCTCTGTCAACTGAAGGAAATACTTAAGAGGTCCAAACTCAACATTCTTTGCCTTGCATAGGACCAGTGCATCTGGTCTGGGGTTCCAGTCTGGCTAAGACATTAGAAAACAGTTTTGAAAGTCCACAATATTTATTTCCAAGAAAAAAGAGACAACAAAATAAAAAATTATTTTGGGGCCACAGGACACCGAATGCACAAGGTTTAAAATGATGACTATGATAATGTAACACATGTGATCAGTGACGAAAACACATAACACATTCATTTAGGGATGCTATATCCTACAAGGCAATTTATCTCGTTAAACTTTGATCAGAAAGGTGACTTAAAGTTTGCTCCATGTTCCCCCAACTTTGTGCCAAATACTAGTGACTTGATTAATTGTGAATCCTCACCTTATAACTATTTCTTCTCATTAGACAATTTTTATATAAAACAAACTCCAGTTGTTGCCCAAGATCTTTCTCATGGGCAACACCAGCCCCAGCTGGGTCTTTCAGGAAAAGAGGAGACTGGACATGGAGAGATGCAAGGGAAAGGGGAGAGGGTTCCAAGGTAACTTCATGCTCTGGAAATTTCAATATGTCTCTAATATTTGAATCTGATGTTTCATGAAGATAAATAGGAGGCTGGCCCCAGAAACCCACAGTGGCTCACAATTTCTGGAACTCTATAGTTTTCTTTGGTAACTAAGGCAGTCGGGGTGAGTGTCTACACAGGAATCAAGAGTTCTTGAACCTAAGTATGTCACCCAGATGTAGATCCTGACAGTGATTATGCCCCCCAAATAAATCTAGTCCCACCCTCTGTCCCATTCTAGATCTTCCTCTGCAGAACACTGATGCATGGGTTTTCAGCTTGTTCTCTTCTAGTGATGAAGAGCTCACTACATTCCCAAACAGCCTGCTTCCTATTTACAGAGCTCTGAAGTGTCAGAACATTCTTTATTCTAAACCAAGCCAGCAGCCTTCTGAGTTTCTCTCATTCATGTGATGGTGTTTCACCTCCTTCTGGAATTGCCTGAGTTTGTGAAAGGTCAACAGAAGAGGCTCTGAAACCATACGACCATCTTATTTCTGGGGGAGTCTATAAAGTTAGGTAAGTCCATGACCTAAGACTGAAAAGATTCATAGGCTTCTTGCCATCTAGATTTTCTGACCTAAGAAGAAAGAGTTTTGCATGGGCCTCAATCTTTGTGATAGCGCTGAAATTGCTTCATTCCTTCCCTTCTCAAGTCCCAATCCCTTTAGAAAATCAAGTCAGAAGTTAGGAATGTTATTGTGCTAATAAAAAGGTTAAGTATTACTCTTATAAGAGCCCTCACTTACCTTTGTCAGGAACCTACTGAGAAGATGTGGCCATGGCGTAGGAACAGTGTGTGGGCAAGAAATAGCAGCACTAGCTTGAAAGACTCAGGTTGAGATGGCCACCTCTGATTTGAAGAAAAGAGTGAAAGCTAGTTCTTCCTACTCAGTCTTGGTTTTATGTTTTAAGCAAAATTTCCAAATGAATAACCAGAACATGAAAAAGGCAATTTGAAATCAGTGCTGCGATTGGGACCATTATGCTCCCTGAAGTGATTAAAAGTTTGGAAGTAGAATTGCACACAGTCAGGAAAGTTTTTATACTTCTGAGACAATGTCCCCAAGATCCAATTATGCCAAAAGCACTCCAGAAAGACTTCTTTTCCTCCTTCCTTTCTTCCTGTTGGAACTTTCCACACTTAGACTATTGAGGGATGTTAGAGAAAGCATTTTCATGTCCTTTTTGAATTTCTGCAAACTTCAAAATGCTAAAAATTCTTGAAAAGAAGCTGGAGAGCTAAATGTTATTTAGGAATGCCCTCTGTCCATGCACTATGGGACCAGCAGCTGTGGGCACAGTGATTCCAAATCAAGTGCTCAGGGGCATGGCTGTGGACATTTTGGGGGAACTTCTATATAAAGCCCTGGGGAGACCTTAATGGGGAGTCAGTCTCTGACAAGTCCTTGAACAATGGGGGAGAATTTACACATGAAGAGACAAGCAAGGGATGGGAGGAAGGAGAAGACTATCTTGGGGACAGAGCTTGGCACAGCCCTTGGCTTGCTTGTTTCTTCCACAACCTCAACAAAGCATTTGTTTGAACAGCTTCATGGAACAGGAGGGATAGCACAGAGTCCAGGGAAGACATTCTATGTTGGTGGAATCTGGAGTATGACAGGCAGCGTCTAAGATGGCTTTAGTGATTCTTGCCTCCTGGTATTCATGGCTTTGTGTCATCCTCTCCCCTTGAGTAACTTGCATTTAACCAAAAGAATACACTCACTTGCTGGCTTTAGTGAAACAAACTTCCAGATTGGAGAGACAAATGTGGCAAGGAACAGAGAGAGGTCTCTGGCCAACTTACTCAGGACCTCAGCCCAACAACTCTCAAGGCACTGAATCTTGCCAACTACCTAAGTGAGCTTGGAAGTAAACCTTTCCCCAGTTGAACCTTCAGATGAGATCCCACCCCTAGTCAAAACCTTAGTTATAGCCTTGTGAAAGACCCTGAAGCAAAGGATCCAGTTAATCTATAATCAGATCTTGACCCACAGAAATTGTGAGACAACATGTGTGTTGTTTTAAGCCACTTAGTTTTGAAGAAGTTTGTTATACAACAATAAATAACTAATATGTAGAGGACGGTTATGAAGTATGAGGAAGAAGCCAAGGAAAGAAAGAGGTAAAATATCTAGAAAACAATGGTTCAGTGAAAGGGAGCCCTCTACTTCCTCAAAAGTCTTTCCTATTGCCAGAGGACATTAGTGTTCAACAAGTATTTTCTCATCCTGGGTCAAAGTCTGCTTATCTCCCTGCACTTATAGCCTGGGTGTTAGCTTAGCCTTTGGCTACATGGGACATAATCACTTCCTCTTTTGAGTATCAGCCCTTCAGAGACAGAAGGACAATAAATCACTGTAGATAAGTGCAGCTACACTGAAGATACGGCTCTGAACTGGGCACATTACTCCTTCTACTACCTGCTGTGAACACTGTGTGTCTGTCAATGTGTCAGAGATCCCTTTGGCTTACCTGGCAAAGAATCATCTCCTCCAGGAAATTTCCCATGGCAATTTCTGCCCATAGAACTCTCTCTCCTCTAAACTTTAAAAGCTTCCTTCCCTGGGATGTCCAGTTTTGTTCTGAACTCTGGAAATTAACTTGTGTCATTTATTTTCTCTGGGTGTGTCCATGTGCATAGCTCTATTCACATATCCATATGCATAATGTGTGTGTGCACTTATAAGTGGTTTTGTAACTCTTTTTCTCTTCAGCCTCAAGGATCTGGTGGTATCCATTTACGAGATGAAATGCTAATAGGCTTCCTGGTGAATCGTGAACTTGAATCTTGATGTTTGAATCCCCCTTAGTTTGTCTAATTCATGTTCCAGAACTCATCTGCATTCATTATTTTCATTCTGGATGGAAACTCAGTGGTAACATTATTTGTCAATAGTTCTTTCAACTATGTCCCTCATTTTTCCATAGTAGAGTTAGCCTTTATGATCATAGTGGCAAAGAGCAGGAATCAAAATGATGACTAGTGAGCTCGGTTTCCTGAACTTACTCTGTATCTCATTCTTGAACTGAAAACACTTTGTTGTCATGGTTAGCTTCTTCCTCACTTCCTTTTTTCATTCTGTGACTACTCACAGGTCTCTAGAATCATACCCCTTGGGTCCACAGTAAATTCTAATGTCTTAGATGATCCCTGCAGAATATTGGAGCTTTGAGAAACATCCTTATGTTCTCTCTCTCCACTTAGGAGCCACAGTGATGGGAATCATTGTTCTCTGCAAGCTTCCTGAGTTGGTAAAAAGCTTGTTCCAATTAGGACAGATATGTCAGATATTGACATATTAGCTGGAGTTCTGCTTATCTTTTATACAAAGAAGTTTTACATCTTTACTTTTGTATTTGGCCTCAGAAATCTTAGAACACTCTACCAACTCTGAAACATTTCCTTCAGGGCATCAGGTTCATTGACTTCCCTCCTGAATTCAATCTTTGCCATCTGCCTGGTGTACACTAGGGAGCATGAAGAGTCTTCCAAGTTCTGCCACATCACCGCTAAAGGACATCCCAATGGCCAAACATGCTTTGGGAAATATTCTTTACCCTTGTGTACTTGTAGACTGTCTGTCATGAAAGAGGAAGTGATTATGTCCCATGTAGCCAAAGGCTAATCAATTCCCAAAGCTAAAAAGTCAGACAGAAATTACCATGTATTTCTATAAAGTTACACCGAATGTGCTTGCCTGTCCTGCCTCCCTTTTACCTCCTCCACCTCTTCCTCCTTTGCCACCCTCAGACAGCAAGACCAACCCCTCCTCCTTCTCCTTCTCCTCCTCAGCCTATTCAATGTGAAGACAAGGAGGATGAAGACCTTTATGATGACCCATTCCACTTAACGAACAGTAAACATGTTTTGTCTTTCTTGTGATTTGTGTGTGTGTGTGTGTGTGTGTGAGAGAGAGAGAGAGAGAGAGAGAGAGAGAGAGAGAGAGACAGGGTCTAGCTCTGTCATCCAGGCTGGAGTGCAGTGGCACCAACTTGTTTCACTGCAACCTCTGCCTCCCAGGCTCAAGCCATCCTCCCTCCTCAGCCTCTGGAGTAGCTGGGACACAGGCACATGCCACCACACCCGGATAATTTTTGTATTTTTGGTAGAGACAGGGTCTCACTTTGTTGTCCAGGCTAGTCTCCAACTCCTGAACTCAGGCGATCCACCCACCTCGGCTTCCTAGAGTTCTGGATTACAGGCATGAGCCACTGCACCCAGCATGATTTTCTTAATATTTTCTTTTCTCTAGCTTACTTTATTATGAGAATACAGTATAATAATACATTTAACATACAAAATATGTGTTTATCTACTGTTTATGTTATCGATTAGGCATTCAGTCTAACAATAGGCTATTAGTAGTTGTTTTGGGGATTTTCAACTGCAATGGGGATCGGCGCCCTAATCCCCGCGCTGTTCGAGGGTCAACTGTATTTTTTTCATGTGCCTCTTTCTCGCCACTAGAGGGTGCACTCCCAGAAGGCAGGGACCCTGGGTTACTCTGCACATTTCTGCCTTTTGCCGCTAGAGGATGCACTCCCAGAGGGCATGGACCCTGGGTTACTCTACACATTTCTGCCTTTTATGGAGCATACGCTCAATAATTGTTTGCTGAATAAAGGAATGTCCCCATTCTCTAGACTCATCCCTGTCCTGGGTCACATTCTGTCCATGACTCGTAAGAGGTCTGGGAGCACGTGCACAGATGACAGGAAGCTGAAAGGACAGTGACTTGGGTGCCCAGTGAGGATTGAGGCAGAACACAGCAGGTTGCTTCAAGGTGTTTAATCCAATGAGATGAACATTTAGAGGGAGAGTAAAGGTCTTTCAGTCAGATGCCCCAAGCCACTGCGTAAGCACAGACTGGGGGTGACGGGGCTCGGCTGCAGCACAGGAGAAAGCACCTGGGCTTTGAATGAATCCTGGAATCACTAACCCACAGATTGTTGGACCCTGTTAATGAGATTATGATGTTCAGAAAGAAAGAAAGGGGACAAGGAAAGAAGGAAGGGAAAGAGGAAGGGAGAGAAGAAGGGGGAGAAGAAGCAGACAGCTGACTTCCTCCAGTGCTGCCAACATAATTTGTTCTTGGGGATGTTATCCCAGAAGGATAGAAAGTTTCTAAACTGAGTACAACTCACTTTCCAAACCTTAAATGACTTCAGGGTCTACAATGGTCCCAAAGAATAAACTGCAATTTAAATTATCTTCTAAGGGTGATGGCCAGTCCTTTGGAGATTGTGCCCCAAGCACATGAGGCAGGAGAAGCAGAAAGGACCCTTCACCTGTCACATGTCCTGAGCCCTCACCCTGGCGTTCAGACCCAGTGTCACTGTTTCTGACATGTAGCCTCTTTCCAAACCTTGGAAAATCGATCATTCTTGCTCATGATGTTTTTTTATAAAAGTAAGGGCAAGTTTTGGTGAAAGGAATTCCACAATTTTCATTAGCATTGGCTATATTTATTTTTTAAATAAATTGATACATAATAGATATACATAATAGATACATAATATCTATTATTGATACATAATAGATATACATGGTTTTAAGGTACATGTGATAATTTAATACATTCATATAATCTGCAAGGATCAAGTCAGTGTAGTTGGGATATCCATGACTTTAAACATTTGTCTTTATGCTAGAAATATTTGAATTATTCTCTTCTAGCCATCTTGAAAGGTATAGTAGCTTATTGTAAACTATAGTCACCCTCCTGACCTATTGAACACTAGGTCTTATTCCTTCGATCAAACCATATATTTTCACCCATTAATCAACAGCATGGTTACATTTCTATCATCAGACTTGATTGTAATGGAATGGGGGCTTGAGGAGGGCAGATGTGAAGCTGTTTCATTGGTATGATATTATTCTCACAAAATCAAATAGACCTCCTCAACCTGCAAGAATGTCTGAGATCATCTGGCCTCACCCTGCCATCATGCTGAGGAAATGGGGGCTTGCCAGGGACCATACAGCTGGTAGTCCTTCTCACGATTGGTTGTCCTTTCTTGATAAAAACTGTTGGGCTCTTTCTCACTTCATAGTTAGATACAAAGTCTGGCAATAATAATAAGCATGTTTCTGAATCTGATAATGATGACATAGAGGGAATATTTTCTTCATATGATCTGCAGGTTCTTGAGAGTTGGCTGGCCAGCCTACAGTGAGAAACCCAGCTGGGGACTGATACACTGCCCAACACACACATCCCAGCAGCAGCGTGTCTCGGGCACCTCAGCCATCCTCAAGCTTGGGGACCATTCTTAGTGTCAGCCTTTGTAGCGAGCTCCTGGTTGATACATTTGCCTCTAAGAGATATATCTACTTTTTTAAGACCTTAAGAGAAAAAGGGAGATTTATTCTTATTTATCTTCGTGCTGAAACCATACTATTTCTAGATATTTAGGCAGTTGTGTGTAAGAGAGATTAACTGCCTTTAGGGGCTCCAGAAGACAAGGCCAGGTAGAAGTTGCAAGGAGACAGATTTCAGCTCAATATCACAGGGTAACTACTTCAAAATGAAGTGAGCCTTACCAGGAGATAAAGAACCTCACATCACTCAGATAGTCAAATCTAGGTTCTAGGACTATCAGGAATGTGGTAAGGGGCTTTCTGCATTAGAAAGGGGGCAATTACTAAATAGACCCTAAGACCTGTTGTCCTTAGCATTCAAGTAATTGTTATGGTTGATGATGATGATGATGATGAAAGCATTTGTTTGCATGACTATTTCCCCACTAGATTTTGAGCTCTTTGTTCCCAGCACCTAGAATTATGCCTGGCCCAGAGTAGACGCTCAACAAATATCTGTTAACCTGACCTGAATTATTATGGCACTGACTTGGTCACAGCTATAATGTGCTAACCACCAACATAGGAGTATCTCGGAGCTCGTGAGGCAGGAAGCATCGCTGCAACAACAGAGGAGGGGGTTGGATTACTGAGAGCTCTTGGAAAGATAGATATCTGGGAAGTTTGTAAGTATTTTAGATACAGTTCTAATAAAACTGTAGTGCTCAGTTGCCTACAAGTTTTTTACTGGTCCAGAACAAATCATAGTTTGAGAAGCACTTCGAAGTCTGAGGAGTGTTGAGGAAACAATGATTCATCAGTACTTGTTAAAGCACGGCAAAGCAGACTTTATTCAGGACTATCTCAACATGTATAGGGACCACTGCCATGGGATTTTGCAGTGAGGGAGAGAAATTGGGCTCAACTCCAAATACAGCAGGCACAAGTGGGAATTTTTAGCCAAGGAGGGGGCTGGAGGTAGGTAGATAGAAAATTACTAAGAAGAAGCATCGGGGGTAACGGGGATTCTGGCTAAATGGACCTAACAGAATTCTTGCTGAAGAGAGGACAGGGTAATCAGACATCACCTGGGGATGGTGGAGGATGAGGAACCTCATCAAACATTGAAGATGACCAGATATTGAGGAGGGGGGTTCTTGCTGAACTGACTTAGCAGGGCTTTTTGCTGAAACTGAATTTTATAAGCAAGGACACAGATGTACCTAGAAGAAGGTTCAGATGCCTGGCCAAAGTTTGGAAAATCTGAGAATCTTTGTCAAGAGAGATTTAACCTTTCCATTAAATAAAAAAGTAACAGAGCAGGACCCAGGGTTCTGTGAACAGTCTCAGGAACAAGTTAATGCCTTTGCCGCAGGCAATGGAGAATGAAGAGAAGACGGGAGGTTCAGTTGGAACTGTCATTCAACTTGGCCATGGGGCACAGGGGCCTACTTGCTGCCACAGATGTACAAAAGGATCAACCAAATGTTGAGACCTTGGCACCGGATGTGTCGGGGTGCCCGGGGCTTGCTGTCTAGGCAGGTGCCACTAGAGCTGTCCTCTTGGCTGCTACATGCCCCAGGAGACGCTTTATTTTCTGTTGTTGCTTTTTTTCTGTTAGTTTTGATTTGTTTTCTTGTCTCCTTGTGTGCCTTATTCTTTTTTAGTGTGTGCCAGATGTTGTGTTTGCAAAATTATTTGTGGAAATGATTTAGAGACTAGGGTGATGTTATCTTCCTCCAAAGTGGATCTATGTTGGCTTCTGTGAGGCATTTGGGAGCATCAAAACTTGGTATCACCTCAATTCGATTTCAGGGCTTGGGAAGATTTGAAGCTGAACTACAGCATCTGTAAATGTCTGTTTCCTTCTGATTTGCCCTTATTCCTATGGTGCTGCCCTTTGAGAGTCCATCCCAAAAGGAGAACATTTAGTGAGGGGCCTTTCAAGGTGAGTCTTTCACAACAAAACTTACTCCCCATCTCCATGAGGCTGTCAGTAATGCTTCCCAGCCTCTCCCTGGCTCCCTCCAGAAGCTGCAAATGCTCGAGTTGAATCACAGCCACAAGTGCTAGACTTACATCTCTAGGTCCTTGTTTTTCCCCAGAGTCATAACCCTATGTTCCTCATTGTCTTATTACTTCTCCAATGTTTTATGTATTTTTTCCAGTTTGTCTAATGGTCATCTGCAAGACAGTTAGTCCAAATTAGCCTGTTTGTTCTTACCAGAAGCAGAAGTTAAATATTGACCTGTACTACATTGTTCCTAGAACCCCATAGAGATGAACAAATCATCAGCGCTATTCTCCAGTTGCTCAGCAGGGCAAGGATTTGTGCCTGGCCTTCCAGGTACTTTTGGAGTAAGAGGATGCTGAGGTTGACCTCTGAGTTCCTCCAGGTGACAGAGCAGATGCACCATGAACAGGTCCAATGAGGCCTCCCCTGTGTTGGGGTTCGTTCTCCTGGGCCTCTCTGCCCACCCATAGCTGGAGAAGACATTCTTTGTGTTCATCCTGCTGGTGTACCTGGTGATCCTGCTGGGCAACGGGGTCCTCATCCTGGTGACCATCCTTGACTCCCGCCTGCACACACCCATGTACTTCTTCCTGGGGAACCTCTCCTTCCTGGACATCTGCTATACAACCTCCTCATCCTTGACAGCTTCCTGACCCCCAGGAAAACCATCTCCTTCTCAGCCTGTGCAGTACAGATGTTCCTCTCCTTTGCCATGGGAGCCACAGAGTGTGTTCTCCTGAGCATGATGGCTTTTGATCACTACCTGGACATGTGCAACCCCCTTAGGTACCCTGTGGTCATGAGCAAGGCTGCCTACATGCCCATGGCTGTTGGCTCCTGGGCAGCTGGTATCACCAACTCTGTAGTACAGATATCCCTAGCAATGTGACTGCCCTTCTGTGGGGACAATGTCATCAATCACTTCACCTGTGAGATCCTGGCAGTTCTAAAGTTGGCCTGTGCTGACATCTGCATCAACGTGATCAGCATGGTTGTGACCAACATGATCTTCCTTGCACTCCCAGTCCTGTTTATTTTTGTCTCATATGTCTTCATCATTGCCACCATCCTGAGAATCCCCTCAGCTGAGGGGAGGAAAAAGGCCTTCTCCACCTGCTCTGCCCACCTCACTGTCGTGATCGTCTTCTATGGGATGATCCTCTTCATGTATGGGAAGCCCAAGTCTAAGGACCCAATGGGAGCAGACAAACAGGACCTTGCAGACAAACTCATCTCCATTTTCTATGGAGTGGTGACCCCCATTCTCAACCCCATCATCTACAGCCCGAGGAACAAAGATTTGAAAGCTGCTATGAGGAACCTGGTGGCTCAAAAACACCTAACAGAGTGACTATCACAGATCCCCAGACTGCGAGAATGCATAACCTCCAAATTCCTCATTGTTCTTTTGGGGAAATGGTAACCAGGGAGGACCTTAGACTGTCAATAGAAAGAACCATAAAATTTCTGAGGCTGCTGGTTAGTTTGCTGGCTTTACACAGAATCGTGCTGTGTCATATCATAGCTATATTTTACTGACTAAATCTTAAATTCTTTGATACAGAATTTGATGAATATCCATAAGAGTTATAGAGGTGGTCAAAAGAGACAAACAAACAAAAATTTTAGTGGTACTGGGATCTTGGAGGATACAGGATATGGTTGGGCTCTGTGTCCCTGCCCAAATCTCCTGTCGAATTGTAATCCCCAGTGTTGGAGGAGGGGCCTGGTAAGAGGTGATTGGATCATGGGGGCAGATTTCCCCCTTGCTGTTCTCATGATAGTGAGTCAGTTCCCATGAGATCTAGATGTTTAAAAGTGTGTAGCACCTCCTGTTTCACCCTCTTCCTCCTACTCCAGCCATGTAGGACATGATTGCTTCCCCTTTGCCTTCCGCCATGATTGTAAGTTTCCTGAGGCCTCCCCAGCCATGCTTCCTGTACAGCATGTGGAACAGCGAGCCAATTAAACCTCTTTTCTTTGTAAATTACCCAGTTTCAGGTATTTCTTTATATCATTGCAAGAATGGACTAATACAATGTTGTTTTGTCCTGTGTAAAACTGCTACTTACTCTACTCTGATTTTGTGTTACCCCAGAGACCTTTGCTGTTTCTCATGTAGGGATAAATTGGAAAATGTCATCTGCCCCAACATATAATGGTGAGCATTAGCACTATGGCAGGAATTCTTCTCACATCTTAGCACTAGAAATAGTGAGACCTGAGCAGCTGCTTTGTTTTGACCTCATGGGCACTAAGAATCTTGTCATTCACAACATTCATCTATTTATTGTCACCACAGGAGAATTCAGAGGCAAACTTGCCACCCCACTGAAGCAGTAACTAAGTACTGTATGACTGGGTGCCAGTAGCTTCCAAACTTTTGTCCATGCAACCAACATAATGCATAGCAGTTACACACAGCACATATTCCATGAGTATGTCCACATTGTTCTGGAACACCAAAAAGACTGTGAGGAAGCAAATGCAAAAGTAATTCTCAATCCTACAACTAATAACAGGCCAATAATAACAGTCATCCCCGACCATCTCTGACGCCAGTGAGATTGGCTGTGTGTCCTTTGCATCTCAAAGAGCTCTAAGTCCATGACTTCCTTCTACACTCAAGGAACAGACTGAGATAGGAGTGAAACTTAATGTGTTATAGTGACTATTTTCAGTCCACTTTATATTTGTAAATGTCAGTGTCTTCATCCATTTTTGCTGCTATAACAATATACCTGAGACTAGGTAATGTATAAATAGCACAAATTTATTTCTCACAGTTCTAGAGGCTGGGAAGCCCAAGATCAAGGCACCAACATGTTCAATGTCTGGTGACAGTCCAGTCTCTGCTTCCAAGATGATACCTTGAACACTATGTCCTCACATGGCAGAAGGGATGAAAAAGCAAAAAAGGGGCTAGCTAGTTCCCTCCAGCCTTTTTATAAGGTTACTAATCCCATTCATGGGGTTGTACCTTTTAATACTATCACATTGATAATTAAGTTTCAACATATGAATTTAGGGGAACCATTCAGACCATGGCAGTCAGTTATTATCAAATTTTGGTCCTTTAGCCATGCCAAGACATACTAGGTTGTTTTCTCCTTTTCTTTTCTCTTTTTTTCTTCCTCATCCCCATGTGAAATAAGACTCAGGTCTTTGCCCTAAATGCATTTTTATTGGTGGGAGTGTAATGAGGACATAGAGAGGGTGGCCTAGAGAATTAAAACAGCTGGAATTCACCAGTTCCCATCACTTTTTAAAAAGCCTAAGCCCATTAAAGAGACACATTCAGATGTCCAGAAGGGGAAGAAGAAAGGGCAGACGTGAAAACAGGAAGGAGGAGAGATTCCTTCCAGAGGCCGGAGAGAGGTGGAGGTCACAGATCCCACTCTAGGCAGGACTCACCCCTACTGCAAATGTGAGAACCAGCTATTATGTATGTCTGTGCCAGTTATGCATTTGGAAACCTGGAGAATGAGTACCAGTGGTTAGTTCCATAAAAATCCATTTGTCCTATCAGGAAACAAACTTGGACCTAGACCCCATTTATCACCTGATTTCCATATACTCCTACAGTAGATGCTCCTTTGGGTTCCTTGGTATTGGTGTCAGTTAAGATTCTATAACCAACAGCCCTCAAAATATTGGGGTATTCCATTTTCCCCAGTGTACAGCTACTCAGGGAAATAGTCACAAGTTCCTGGAGGGAAATATAGAGAAAATCACCACTACATACATGCAAGGGAATGCCCTTGAGGCATTCTTCCTCAAAGAACAGCCTCTCCTTCAATTGAGGTATTTTGGATCTGAGAATTAATTTAGGTCTGGAATTGAGTGAATGATCATAATTTTTCAACAGGGAAGCTGTTATCAGGCTTCTGCTCATCCATGCTTGATTTTTTTTTTAATTACCTACATTTACAACCTTCTAAATTGCCTACCTGTCTTGCTCCCAGGAACATCACAGTTTCATACTCATTACCGTACATTCCTGTGGGTCAGGCCCTCTGGTTGCTATTCTGACCTTGCTGTCTATTACAGTAATTAATCTTCTTGCCCCTAATAGTTAAGTGCTGCCATCAGGCCTCTACTATTCTGGAAAATTATCATCTCCATTAACACTAGGGACCCCACTTCCAAAACAGCACCTCCTACAGTCAGCCTCAGCTGACAGAGGATAAACACTGCTGAGGTTCTCAATAATGCACCTCACTAGTGCATTTTCTTATTAACTTAGTGAAGAGAGTGTCCTCTAGCCTTCCTAGGGAACATAGCCATCTGGTAGGTCTAATTTGGAAGTCCATTGAGCATACCAAATTCTTTGAACCTTTTGGCTCCTTCCTCTACACTCTGCCAAGGCAGTTTGATGTTTCCAGGAGCCACCCCAACCGTCCTGAAGGATCTCTTGGTTGCCAGACACCCTCTCTAAAACAGCAGCCAGCAGAACAGCAGCCTGTTCCTCTGTGGGGGCTGTGATGGCCTGATGACTTTTAAAGAAGTCCCTTTCAATGAGCAATTTGAAAAAATTGTGATTCCTGGCATACACCCACTCTCAACTCCTTAGAAATAGCATAGGTTTAATATGAATTTAGGCCCAAAAAATAGAGAAGCCTTATTTCACAAGACATGAGGCATTTCTGTGACTCTGATACCAGATAACATAAACTCTAGTTCCAGGCATATTCAGAAGGAAATAATGCCAATGTTGTTTGTACAAAAGTGAGTCGGCACCTTTTATGCATCATTATCGGTCTGAAATGACTGGCATGTTTGAAGACAGAAGGGAATAAAGGCAGCCAATGATGATATAAATGGAGCAACTGACCATCTGAGCAATTGAATATAATTGGAAGCAATTGGCATGGGTCAAGACAGGAACCAGGGGAGGTGTCAGTAGAAAAATGGAGTTCTAAAGGCCGGGCACGGTGGTTCATGCTTGTAATCCCCGCACTTTGGGAGGCCAAGGCGGGCAGATCACCTGAGGTTGGGAGTTCGAGACCCGCCTGGCCAACATAGTGAAACACCGTCTCTACTAAAAATACAAAAAATTAGTTGGGTGTGGCGGCGGGCACCTGTAATCCCAGCTACTTGGGAGGCTGAGGCAGGAGAATCACTTGAACCCAGGAGGCGGAGGTTGCAGTGAGCAGAGATCATGCCATTGCACGCCAGCCCACGTGACAGTATGAGACTCTGTCTCAAAAGAGAAAAAAGAAAAATGGAGTTCTTGCTGGGCGTGGTGCTCATGCCTGTAATCCCAGCACTTTGGGAGGGTGAGGCAGGAGGTTCTCTTCAGGCCAAGAGTTTGAGACCAGCATGGGCAACAGAGTGAGACCCCCCACTCCATCTCTACAAAAACATTTTTAAAAGTTAACCAGGTGTAGTGGTGCACACATGTAGTCCCAGATACTCGGGACTGAGGCAGAGGGATCGCTTGAGCCCAGAAGTTCAAGGCTGTGGTAAGCTGATTGTGCCACTGCATTCCAGCCTGGGTGACAAAGCCAGACCCCAGAAAGAAAATGGAGGTTTCATGGCTCTCCTCATCCCCAAGGTATTCACTTCTGGAAAAATTAATGGTTAGGATTACCCAAGTATACATAAATTCTAAACAAATATATCCTACGTACATAGGGCTCTTCTTAGCACAGGGTGCTGGAAGAAAGCTGGCTTACAAGTTTTCAACTTTACAATGGTGAAAAAGTGATACACATTCAGTAGAAACTGTACTTCAAGTACCCATACAACCATTTTTTTCACCTTCAATATAGTAGTCAATAAATTACATGAGATATTCAACACTTTCTTATAAAATTACTTTGTGCTAGATGATTTTGCCCAACTGTAGACTGCTGTAAGTGTTTTGAGCACATTTAAGGTAGGCTAGGCTAAGCTATGATGTTCAGCAAGTTAAGGGTATTAAATGCATTTTCAACTTACAATATTTTCCATTTATGATGGGTTTATCATGACGTTGCGCCATTGTAAGTTGAGGGGCATTTGTATTCCAGCTGAGCCTGGAGGACCGTGATCAAGGAAGTAGTAAGGCTGGTATGCTTTGCACAGGAATTGGCCTGATTAGTCCCTAAGGCTCCTTCCAAGCTTGGGCCTACCATTGTCTATGAGCGGAACAAAAGCCAGAATTGAAGAATGGCCTGTACGGTGGTGTGTTTTAGGAAACCCTGATTAAGCAGAGAGCATCCATCCTGTGACTGTTTCTGACTATTTTGCATGACCACTGAAAGAAAAACACTGGCAAACACTCCAAACATGAATACTTCCAAATCAAATTAATTAGGCTTAAGTGATCCCAAAATAGAAACATCCCTCATCTTTCTTCTTACAAGAGAATGAAGGTTTGAACCATGATTCAATTTGTGGAATAAACCATATGGCTTCCTTCCCAGGACGGAAGAGGAGCTGCTCAAGGGGAATCAAAACATCCAGCCCTGGGTCAGAGAGGAATCTGACCTTGGAGACATGGGGCCCAGACAGAGTCCCTACAGATCCTGACCTGACCTGTGTATGGAAGACGTCAGGGGCAGATGGATATTCATTCAGTCTTTTAGTCTGACCTTTACATTTAAAAGCAAAGAGGAAAACAGCCCTAGTTATAGGGCTGGGCCTCAGATCCAACTTAAAGGCTTACCAGTGGAATAAGAACATCTGCCCCCGTTCCTTAGACATATGTTTTGGATTTTATTGCACTTTCTCTCTTCATCTGAGGACAGATGTGATAGCTCTTTCCTTCTGAGGATGTTGTGAGAATGACAGTACATAAGGTGCCTAGTACATAATTTTTCATTTTTTTAATTTTTTTGAAACAAGGTCTTGCTGTCTCACCCATTCTGGAGTGCAGTGGTATGATCATGCCTCACTGCATCCTCAACATCCTGGGCTCAAGCAGTCCTCCCACCTCAGCCTCCCGAGTAGCTGTGGAACTGGCAAAAGGATCTAGTTGCTCACTGCTTGTGGAATGAAGTCAAAATAATAACGAGTTATGATACGGAAGAGCCATATTCCTTTATTATACATGCCAGCAAGGGGAAGAGTAGACAGCAAATTCCAGTCTTCAATTTGTGGAGGGAATGCAGGGGTTTTTGGTGGTGGTGGTGGTGGTGGTGGTTTTTTTTTTTTTTTTTTTTTTTTTTTTGAGACAGTCTCACTCTGTCACCCAGGCTGGAGTGCGGTGGCACGATCTCGCTCACTACAAGCTCCACCTCCTGGGTTCACGCCATTCTCCTGCCTCAGTCTCCCAAGTAGGTGGGATACAGGCACCTGCCACTGCACCTGCCTAATTTTTTTGTATTTTTAGTATAAACGGGGTTTCACTGTGTTAGCCAGGATGGTCTCAATCTCCTGACCTCGTGATCTGCCTGCCTCGGCCTCCCGAAGTGCTGGGATTACAGGCGTGAGCCACCGTGCCTGGCTGGGAATGCAAGGGTTTTTAAAGAAGGCATTTTGGAATGTGGAAAAGGCAAGTGGGGCTAGGAGATGCCAGGTGCTATGACAGTCCGATGGCTCATCTTGAATTATTGTTCCATTTGGTGAAGGGGCTGGTGCCATTGTGGATCCTACCAGGTTATAAATTAATCACAGTCAACCTTGTGTTCACTCTTCAGCTGAGAGTGGGTTCCAGCCCTGAGGTAACCTTTTGTTGGACAGAGAATTCTGGAGGTGTCTGGTCCCTATCAGGATCTGACCTCTGAAGCATCAAAGGAAGCATATGACCAGATAAGTGAGCATGGTGTGTGCTTAACAAGCATCTAGGTAAATAAATGTGCATAAGGCATGGGAGCACAGAATGGGAAAAGAAAGGGAGTGGAGGTTCACAGCCCATTCTGAGGCTGTATTTCAAGATGAAAGGTAACACATAAGCAGTCTGTCTCAAAGTTATATCTTGAGACTGGGGGTGGGAGGAGGAAGAAAGGGGAAAGGAAAAAGAGTTATAAAATGCATTTTGAGGCTTAGCTGCTAAGCTGCTTGATTATAGCTGGGACTACTGGTGCATGCCCCCAAACCCAGCTATTTTCTAAAAAAAAAAATTTTGTAGAGATGGGGTCTCATTGTGTTGCCCAAGCTGGTTTTGAACTCCTGAGCTCAAGCAATCCGCCTGCCTCAGCCTCCCAAAGTGCTGGGATTACAAAGGGGAGTCACCGCATCTGGCCTCCTAGTACAAAATTTATATTCAATTGATAATAGCTCCTACCACTGCTTCTACAGCTGCTGTTGCTGTTATAGCCCTTGCACTGATTTTTTAGCATGTCTGTCTTCTCCTAAATATTGAGCTCTTTAAAGTAGAAACTTTGATTTTCATCTCTGAGTACCCAGCACTGAGAATCAGGCCTGGCACAGAAGGTGTGCTCAGTAGCCATCTCTTGACTTGAGCCAAACGGCCACGGCACAGACACTGTGTGCTTGCACAGGTACAGGACAGTCTCACAGCTCCTTGCTGGAAGTGCTCCTGTAGCAACCTGGGAAGGGGTCAGATCACAAAGCAGAGCTCGGAGGAGATGGATTTCTACAGAGTTTGTATGGTTTTCAAGCACAGGGTAAAATAAAGCCAACTGCAAAACCTCTGGATTGTCAACAAGCTTATGATGACCCAGGATAAATCACATGTGAGCACCTAGAAATCCGAAAGAGAGATTTTTAGTTCCCTGAAAAAAGCAAGGGAAATCTCAGGACCAGCCTCAGAAGCAAGTCAGTGTCTTTCGTGAGAGCTGATGGGGAATGAGGAGGAGGGAAGTTCAGAGATAACTGAACTTCAACTTGGCCAAAACGTGCAGGAGGCCCCTTGCTATCCAGTCATAGAGGCTCACTGGTGAAGTGAAATTTACTTAAAGGTCAGTAAAAGTTTAAAGTCTTGGCACTGGAGTTACAGGGTACCTGGGACTGACTCCTGGCTGATATCACCAGAGCAGAGGAGTTCTTGGCCCATCTGCCCTAAGGGAAGGGAAGAGACTAAATGTCATCAGTCACCTGCCCTTCTATGGGGACATCATCAACCACTTGACCTGTGAGGTCCTGGCTGTCCTGAAGTTGGCCTGTGCTGACATCTCTATCAACATGATCAGGCAAAAGGCCTTCTCCACCTGCTCTGCCCACCTCACAGTTGTGGTCATCTTCTACAGGACCATCCTCTTCACGCATGGGAAGCCCAAGTCGAAGGACCCACTGGGGGCAGACAAGCAGGATTTTGCAGACAAACTCATCTCCCTCTCCTATGGAGTGGTCACCCCCATGCTGAACACCATCATCTACAGCCTGAGGAAAAAGGGTGTGAAGGCTGCTGTGAAGAACCTGGTATTTCAGAAACCCCTAACTGAATGACAGACTGTCAGAATCCCAGGTGGCCAGAACATATGATCTCTAAGCACCTCACTGTGCTCATGGGGAAATGATAACTCAGAGGAAAGAAGGGACTTTCCCAAGGTCCAGGCCATGAACCATGGGACTAGGACGAACAAGTAAACTGAGTGTCCCCTGTTGTGTCACAAGTAATGGAAGCTTCTATCAAAGGACCTAGAGGGAAAGTGCCCCCACATTTCTACTTTTAATTTCCCATTGCCCCATTTCCTTACCTATCTATTTTTAATTTTTTGGCCTTGAATACATTTTTGGGTTACCACAAATCCTTTCTGACATGAGAGTAGGCATAATTGCAACCAAAGAAACAAAGCAACAAAAAAGCAAACAAAAAACCCAAATGAACTAATGACAAGACATGGCAGTGGGGGTTGGGGTGGGGGCTGGCCGTCGGAGCCCCTCCGTGGACCTTAGCTGTTTCTCTCCCCTGCTAGAAGCTAGTTTTAGACTGCATGGCTTTGAGGTCCTTTCAAAGTTGACCTTCCAAGGCAGTGATTCTAGCCACAGGACCTTGAGTATTGTGGTGTATTAGGCCATTCTTGTACTGCTATAAAGAAATACCTGAGACTGGGTAATTTATAAAGAAAAGAAGTTTAACTGGCTCATGGTTCTGCAGACTATACAAACATGGCTCCAGCATCTGCTTAACTTCTGGGGAGGCCTCAGGGATCTTTTACTCATGGCAGAAGGTGAAGTGGGAGCAGGCACTTCACATGGCCAAAGCAGGAGTGAGTGAAAGAGAGAGAAAGATAAAGAGAGAGAAAGAGAGAGAGAGCAGGCAGGAGGTGCCACACTTTACAACAACTGAATCTTGGGAGAACTCACTATCACAAAGACAGCACCAAGCCATGAGGAATCTGCCCGTGATCCAAACACCTCCCACCAGGCCCCAGCTCCAGCACTGGGGATTACAATTCAATATGAGTTTTGGGTGAGGAAAGTATCCAAACTATATCATGTGGAAATACCACTGGCCATCCGAATTGAATTATTATAACAGCAGCTTCTAGCACTTCCAGAGAAAACAAGATAGCTGTTCAAAGAGCATCTGAGGGGAGGGAGTGGAGAGGCAGCCGCTCAGGTCAGCATAGACCACAGAGTGCTTTCAGCCCAGGCCAGGCAGCCTGACACCTGCCTTCCAAGTCCAGCCCTAACACTATTTCCCGCTGCTGAGCACTTGGCTAAGTCTCCTTCCTTCTCTGGGCCTTGATTTCTTTGTCTGTAAAATGAGAGCGTATAGCCCGTCCCTGTCACTAGCCAATACAACTGGGGACTGCCAGAGAGGGGGAACTCATGGCTCGCACCCCACCACCCGCCACTCTTTGATTAGGGGTCTCCTCTGGGGTCGCCCCTCCATTCATTCCCTCCACAGTTCGTGAGCAATTGTTCCTAACTTCCAGTGCCACTTACAGAATTGGGTGGCTGGTTGCAGCTCTAGCTACCTGTGCCTGCTGCAAACCTGCCACCTGGTGGACATTGCTGAAGCTGACAATTGAAATTTCTGCAAGCTCCTGAGATAGGTGCTTCTCAAACTTGAATGTTTTCATGAGTTATCTGAGAATGTGGATAAGGATTCGGTGAGTCTGAGGTAGGGTCTGACATTCTACATCTCTAACAGATTTCCAGGTAATGTCTATGCTGCTGAACTCTGCAGGCCACGCTTTGAGGAGCAAAGCCCTAGAAGATGTGGGACCAGGGCAGGAGGGCTGAAGGAAGAGGCAGGGTAGGAAGACGTCCTCGCGCAAGTCTCCTACTGTGAGCCAAGCCCTTGGGCATCAGCAAGCCTGTGAGGTGTTCATCAGCCCGGCAAATTCCCTCATAGCAAAAGCCTAAAATGTCAATGCTTTTAAGTCTCTGGGTTGCAGATTTCACTTAATTTTTGGCCTTTGAGTATCCCTTAGTTTCTGGAAAGCTCATCAGTACCTTTTAAAAAAATGTTTTTACATTTTATTCAGCATGCTCAGTTGTGTTTCACACTCAGCAAGACGAGAATACTCAGAGAATCTAATTGTTCATGCTGCCAGAAGAGATACCCTTGACCAGTGTGGTTTTATATTCCCAAAATCAAGTTGCCCATTTGCTCCCCCTATTCAATCAATAGTTTCATTAATTCATGGAGATGAACAAAGACTCCCTAGAATGAAACGTTTGTTTTTCTCTTAGAGTGTCAAATTAGACAATAATCTTAAAAATTAGGCTTTCTGGCCAGGCATGGTGGCTCACACCTGTAATCCCAGCATTTTGGGAGGCCAAGGCAGGAGGATCACCTGAGGCCAAGAGTTTCAGACCAGCCTGGGAAACATGGTGAGACCCCATCTCTACAAAAAAATTTAAAACTAGCTGGGTGTGACAGCACACACCTGTGGTCCCAGCTACTTGGAAGGCTGGGGCAGGACCACTTGAGCCCAGGAGTTCAAAGCTGCACAGAGTGAGCCTTGATTGCACCACTGCACTCCAGCCTGGGCAACAGAGTGAGACCTCATCTCAAAAAAATTAGGCTTTCTGAGAGAAAAGAGAGTTTTTAAAAATCCAGAATTTCTCTTTTATAGATTAAGAGCAAAATTGGGGGTTATCAGCAGTTTGGGTTTACCTTTATCTTTACTAAAAGGTATAGGCAAGAGAATTCACGATATAATAATTAAGGTTTCCAATGTCCTTAGGGAGAAATGGAGTGCTTTCTTAGCTAGAAGCTTGGTCAGATTGAAGAGGATAATCAGAAAAGATAGAACTAGTGTAAGATTCTATTGATTGGATAGGGAGGAATTTAACACCTTCTCCATCCTGGGCTGGTGCCCAAGCTAGAGGTTGTGGGTGATGTTGAGAAAATAAAACCTCTGATAGAAAGTCCATATTTGTTAAGGGCGAATCCATGAATATTTATGGTTCTTTACTTCTCCAGAATGACCAACATCTTATGGATGCTACAAGCCCAGAAGGACTGGGCCTGCAACAGACCACCAATTCCAAGACACTCTCAGCCCCGATGGCACATGAAAGGGGTCCAGAATTCCTGTCCCCATTAGAAGGATACAGGGGTGGTTGGACATATTATCTGATCATGTTGTCAGCAGGATCACCATGGTGAGTGATGAAGTGACCCCATTACTAAATCTTTCCATTTAATGGGTCAAGGCCATTGAATGGAAAGATTTAGAACAAATGGGAATATTAGCCACATCTTCAGGGGTCCATTGTATCAGCAGTGTCAAAGCAGGCCCAAGCCAGTTGGGCGTTGATGTTTCTGGAGCAACTGGATAGTCATACGGGGGAAGAAATGAACCTTGACCTTTACTTCACACCATTCACAAAACTTCATTTGAAATCAATCATAGACATAAATGCTTAAGCTAGAACTACGGAAAGTCTAGAAGAAAACACAGGAGAAAATCTTTGTGACCTCAGAATAGGCAAAAGTTTCTTAAGATGCAAAAAAGCATGAACCCTAAAGGAAATAAGTGCCAAATTGGACTTCACCAAAGTTTAAAACTTATGCTCTTCGGACAATACCATTAAGAAAATGAATGGGTAAGCAACAGATTGACAGACAATAGTTGCAATGCATATATCTGATAAAGGACTTGTATCCATAATATGTAAAGAACTCTCACAATGCAATAAGAAGGCAGTCCCCGAAAATGTGGGAAAGATTTGAACAGATGCTTCACAAAGGAGTTTCACAAAAGATTTATAGATGTCCAAGAAGCACATGAAAATTGTTCAACGTCATTAGTCACTATGGAAAATCAAATTAAAACCACAATGAGATTTCACCCTACACTCATTGGAATGTCTAAAATTTTAAAGACTGACAATACCAAGTGTTATGGAAGACATGTAGCAACTAGAACTCACATACATTGCTGATGAGAATGTAATATGGTACAATCCTTTGGAAAACAGCTACTGGTTTCTTATAAAGTTAAACATACACTTCCTTGTGACAATAGTTCAAGTCTTGAGTTTTGTATTTTCTTAGATTCTGCATTTGTCTATTTGACATCCGTTAATTTCAGGGCCAAACTAACAACCAAAGTTGTTTACATCTCCTCTGAGATCCAGAGCCTATACTCTGAACCACCTCCTTATCTAACTCACATACCAACCAATATTTCCCTGCCCTAAACCACCCAGGGCCATGTATCGGACAACCAGAGACCACCCTCATAGCCCAGAGCCCACATATTTTTCAATCCTATGCTGTCTACCCACCCCTGCCCTGCCTTTCCCAAGGAAACTGTAATAGAGTCTCTGGCCTAGGCTCTCCCCTCACTCTTGCTTCTGCCTCCTGAAAAAACCTTGGTGCTTCCCCACATGACCCCAGCATGGAATGGTGTGACCTCTCCTCTTGGGAAATGTAAATAATAAAAATCTTCTTTCAAAGGCATTGGCCTCTATGTATTTTCACTCGGTCATCTACATAAATTAAGATGACTCGAATACATCTTGAGACATGAGTGTTTACATAAAAGAAATAAAAATATACATCCATACAAAGACATGTACACAAATGCTCATAGAATCTTTATTCATAATAGCCCCACATTGAAAATAACCCAAATATTCATCAATAAGTCAAAAGATAAACAAATTGAGGTACATCCATACAATGAAATACTACCCAGCAGTAAAAAGGAACAAAATACCCAAAAAATGCTAAGACATAGGATTATCTCAGAAACATTATACTAAGTGAAAGAGGCCAGACACAAAAGAGTACATGGTGTATGATTGGAATTCTAGAAAAGTCATAGCTAATATATGGTGACAAAAATCATACCAGTTGTTGCCTGGAGCCTGGTGAGGTGCGGGGTTGATTGCAAGGGCATGAAGAAGCTTTGGGGAGTGGTGGGAATATTTTATATCTTGATTTTGTGATGGTAGTTACACAAGAGCATACATTTCTTAAGACTCATGGAACTGAATCTTAGAATGGGTACCTTTTTTTGTTTTTTGAAATGGAGTCTAGCTCTGTCACCCAGGCTGGAGTGCAGTGGCGTGATCTCAGCTCACTGCAAGCTCCGCCTCCTGGTTCCATTTTCCTGCCTCAGCCTCCTGAGTAGCTGGGACTACAGGCGCCCGCCACCACGCCCGGCTAATTTTTTGTATCTTTTAGTAGAGACGGGGTTTTACCGCGTTAGCCAGGATGGTCTCCAACTCCTGACGTCATGATCCTCCCCGCTCGGCCTCCCAAAGTGCGGGATTACAGGCGTGAGCCACCGTGCCCGGCCTAGAATGGGTACATTTTATTGTGTGCAAATTATACCTCAGTAAAGTCAATTTTTTTAAAAAAGAAGCAACTTCTTTCTTCAGTTCTCATTCTTATCTGAATTGTTATGTGTAATTTTTTAGCTGACTGAACTAGTAATTTTCTTTAGTTTATACACTGTCCCCACCCTAATTCTCATTTCAAATAGTTCTAAAATGTAGCCAAGTGCAAATAGATATAAAAATGTGGTCAAGTGCAAAATAAGAGACGTAAATATAGCAGAGAAAGAAATATGGGTCAATTTTTGCAGAAAACCCATTACAGTATTTCTAAAAATTAACCAGAAAACTGTTAGCAGTAATATGAGTTCAGAAAAGTTAGAAAATAGAAATAAGTTCCCCAAAATCGATTGTATTCCCACATACCTACATATACATTCCTGTGTTCAACAAGCAACAACACAAACTAAGAACAAAAAAAAAAACAAGGAATACTATTGTATTCATAATAATTACAAATATCAAATAATTGAGAATAATCATAATTCCAGACATGACAGATCAAGTCAAGAATAAAAGTATAAGACTGTTTTCTTTTTGTTTTCATTTATTTTTTTTTTAGAGACAGAATCTTGTTGCGTTGCCCAGCCTGGATGGAGTACAGTGGTACCATCACAGCTCACTGCAACCTTGAACTCCTGAGGCTCAAGCTATCCTCTGGCCTCAGCCTCCCTCAGCTAAGACCACAGGCACACACACCACCATGCCTGGGATAGATAGATAGATAGATAGATAGATAGATAGATAGATAGATGATAGATAGATAGATAGATAGATAGATAGATAGATAGATAGATAGATTTGGTAGAGTTAGGCATATATATATATATATATATATATATATATTTGGTAGAGTTAGGGGTCTTGCTATATTGCCCAGGCTGGTCTCAAACTCCTGACCTCAAGCAATCCTCCCGCATGGACCTTCCCAAGTATGGATTACAGGTGTGAGCCACTGCATCCAATCAAGACTAGTATAAGAGTATAAAGGAAAGCAGGGGGATTGGCTAGGGATTTGGGGAAAGAAATACAATAAAAGTGACCTTTATTCCTAAAGTAGAAGCTCTCAAATTGTAACAAACAAAAGAACTTCTTTAATATGGCCGGGTGTGGTGACTCACACCTGTAATCCTAGCACTTTGGGAGGCCAAGGTGGGCAGATCACTTAAGGTCAGGAGTTCGAGACCAGCCTGCCCAACATGGTGAAACCTCATTTCTACTAAAAAAAAAAAAAAAAAAAAAAAAAAAAATTAGCCAAATGTGATGGTGTATGCCTGTAATCCCGGCTACTCAGGAGGCTGAAGCAGAAAAATCGCTTGAACCCAAGAGGCAGAGGTTGTAGTGAGCAGAGATCACACCACTGCACTCCAGCCTGGGTGACAGAGCAAGACTCTGTCTCAAAAACAAAAACAAAAACAAAAACAAAAAAAACTTATTTAATATACATATTGCTGGGCTTTGTCCCCAAAGATTCAAATTCCACTATGTTTGAAGTAGGGCTGATAGGAAATCTGGCCTTATAAACACAGTTATTTGGTGTTTTAAATTATCCAAAAGACTCTGCTGAACACTGTAAATTGCTAGTGAAGAATAATGGAACAATACAAGGATCTTTTGAAGATCACAATGTCAGATTCTTCCTACCAGATTTGAACTTATATGCGGGGTAACAATTATTGAACTATACACCATTGGATTTTTGTTTTGCAAATCATTCATATTCATGATACCAGAAAAATGAATCCAAACTGTAAGAATTTAATCCATATACATCAGACCAAAATTAATAGCTTAAAGAAGGAATCATGTTTTAATAAATAGTGGAACAGCAACAACATTCAATTGAATGAAGGTTGCCTTTGATCCATAAATCACACCATATACTTCCATAAACTTCAGCTGGATTAAACAACAAATGCTGTTATGATTACAAAAAGCTAAAAAAGAACACAATGACATATTTATACCAGCTGTAGAAGAGAGTGTGATTCATTATTCTGGGAGAGAAAGAAGGTATCAGAATTAAAATAGATATGTTGAAACATACATTATACAAAACTCTGGAATAATATAACCTGATTAAACAAGAATCTAATTTTTCCCCAGTGGAGGTCCGTCACATCCCACAAGTAGTTAATTTGAGTTTCTTTAAAAATATAGCTATTCTAAATAACTTTTAATATGCAAGACAGTGGACATACACGAATGTGTTCTGTTTTTCAATTTTTGACATGCTAGAAGCTACTACCACATTAACATGTGTCCTGTCGAATTGACTCACTTTTGATTAGAACTTGGAATAATTATTTTCCTGCCATCTCTGTGCAATCTTCTTTAAATGTCCTTGATTCGAAAAAAGTGTGGCTCTGCACTTATCTTTTCTCTTTTCTCTGTTTATTACTAGAATAGATTCAGATGTGGAATGATCTTTCTTTAATCCAAGCCTATGCACATAGCTCATGTAAAATTATACAAAGAAGTACAAATATGTGCTGTTCTCAATTAAGTGTTGGGCAAGGCTATGAATCATCTGCTTGGTGCATGTTCTTTTTATGGCATCATAGCCAATTGCACAATAACAAGAGAACATGTCACACAAAAATAATGTGCATTATAAATAGTATGAGGATTAACCACAAATTTTGGTTGCTACTACCTTATAAATAGCATCGAGATTAAACATAAGTCTTGGTTGCTACATCTTTGGTTCTTTTCAATGTGTGATAAGAAATTTGAGCAGCTGTCATATTAGTGAATCAGTTTTTTCAGATTTTTAACATCTAACATTTTTTAAATTAATAAACTTTTTTAGCACACTCTGGTTCACACTTGAGTGGAAAGTACAGTGGGCTCCCACACATCCTCTGTCCTCACATATGCACAACCTCCCCCACTATCAACCAGAGTAGTACATTTGTCTCAATTGGTTAACCTACATCAACACATCATCACCCAAAATCCGTCATTTGCATTGGGGTTTACTCTTGGTGTATACATTACTCTATGGTGTACCCATAGAATACATTCTATGGGTTTTGACAAGTGTATAATGACATGTATCTACCATTGCAGTATCATGCAGATTAGTTTCACTGCCCTAAAAAATCCTCTGTGCTCTGCCTTTCATCCTTCCCTTCCCCCAACCCCAGGCAAACACTAATCATTTTACCGTCTTTATTGTTTTACCTTTTCCAGAATGTCATATATTTGTAATCATAAAGTATGGAGCCTTTTCAGATTGGCTTCTTTCACATAGTAGTATGCATTTAAAGTTCCTTCATGTCTTTTCATGACTTAATAGCTCATTTCTTTTTAGCACTGAATAATATTCCACAGTCTGGATGCACCAAAGTTGTTGTCTTTTTTTCCTCCATTCACCTACTAAAGGACATCTTGGTTGCTTCCAAGTTTTGGCAATTAGGACTAAAGCTGCTATAAATATCCATGTGCAAGTTTTTATGTGGACATAAGTTTTCATGAACCAATATTTAAACAGAAATTTCTCAGTGCTTCATTTTCAGGATACCATCTTAATTTAAATAAAGAGTTGTGTGGGATTGCAAGTTAAGTTATTTCAAAAACGGTGACCCTTGGCAAGGTACTCATCTCTATGAATCAGGATTTTCTCTATAGCAGGCAACAAAAAGAAAATGCGTTAAATAAATCGGAAGCTGGAACATGTGTGACTGCAACAGTCATCCATAATTCCAGAATTCAAGTTTTTATATTTATCAAAATCTTACTCACTGTCTTTGAATTCTCATTCACTGTCTTTGAACTCTCATTCACTGACTTTGAACTACATAATTGCTATAAATTTGAACTTATAAAATAAGTGTAGCAATACAACACAACTTTTTTCTTGTTTATATAGCAGAACTCTAAGATTTTTTTGGGAAAGGAATGATTCTATAGTTAAAAAATAAAAAATAATAGTTTTAAGTTCAAAAATTACTAAAATAAACTGCCAAAGAGAGTAAAGAATGGGGGGGTGGAAATTTTATATTCACAGGCTTACGTCTTTAGAGGGCTTATTGGAGGCTGGCAGGATATTGTACCAGCATCATAGGCTGAGGTCTCAATGCTGAATTTCATAACGTGGGTGTTGGATGCCTAGGAGTAGGGCTTTTCTTCCTCCTCTTAGATCTTACTGTAGGCATCAGTGTGGATGTTAGATATGCCAATTCTGCTCCGAGGCACAGGGACCCTTCGTTCTCCAAGGCCTTACTCCCAGTTATTAAATTAACAGTGAACATGACACACTAGCAATTGGAAAATGTCTCTGGCTGGTAGTTGCTTTCAAGCAACCACTTCTAGAAGGGGTGATCAAATCTTCAATGGACAGTTAGTTGACTCTGCATATCCCCTTCCTGCCGAATGACTAAAACTAAATCTCAGTAAGTTCAGTGGGATCTCAGTTTAGTCAAGGCCTCTCACAAACCCCTCCCCAGCTTTGAGAGGTCTATATAGAGCCAAAGCCAGCAACTGGGACTGGAGAAGAAGACAGGACATGTGGTCCTCAGTCATCATCATCAATCCCTGTTGACATCTGCATTCTCATCTGGTATCCATTTGTACAGATGATTCAAATAACAGATACAGCCTCCTCATTCCAATCTTGAGGTCGCTTCAGGCTCTCAGCTGTCTCCTACCTTGCATCTCTTGAGGGGCAAAAAAACATTTGGCTGCTCTTCTGTGTGGAGCATGAAACAGGACACATTTGCAGCCATTTCTACTCTATACCTACATCGTGTTAAGTGCAGATGAATTTTATGAGGTCTGTCATTTCCTGAGCTCCACACAGCAAGGAGAATCAGATCCCCTCTTATCTCGTAGTCTCAAGCCTTTCTGGGGATTCTATGTCCCACCCCACTGCATCAGAAGAAGGAGACCAGAGACGCCTTCTTTTCCTCCAGTGGCTCTCCTCCTTCCACATCAGAGTGAATCAAATTGCTGGGGACTGAGGGGGTAGGAGGGACTGTGTCTGACTAATCATAGTATTCTTCCATGTCTGTTCTTCATACAAATATTTTATGCTCTCAGCTATAAAATAGACCACGTTCTGATATTTCAAAGGCTTTTTCTCTTTAAAGCCATTGTCTCTGCCTGAAATTTTAAGTGTATGTTTTTTAAAACCAAAAGCTAGGAGTTGTCCTCTTTGACTATTTTTCTACTCTAATGATCATCTCTGAAGATGTGAATGCCTTGCCCTCATGTTTTAGTTCTAATGAAGGAATTACTGGGAACAGAAAATACATTAATATTTCACAAAATTGTCCTACTGTACACATATGAAATCAGATGCCATAAAGTCTTAGTTAACTAACTCAAAATGGACCTCTTCCTTATTAAGCTAGGTCAATTAATCATGATCAAATATGTTCAGGCTAAACAAAGTCAGAAAAAGTATTTCCATTAAAGATTGGCTTTAGAAATTTACTATGCAAAAGTTCTAAAAAACAATACTCCTATTTAATTAAAACTACTTAAACATCTGCCATATTCTTAATTTTAAAAGTTTCTCTTTCTGAAACAGATTCAGGCTCTGCTGCAGGAAGCAATTAAGAAATGAGGATATTTGGCCAGGAATGGTGGCTCACAGCTACAATCCCAGCACTTTGGAAGGCCGAGACAGAAAGATCACTTGAGCCCAGGAGTTCGAGACCAGCCTGGGCAACATAGTGAGACCTCGTCTCTACAAAAAATCAAAAAAATTAGCTGGGCATGGTGGCACACACCTGTTGTCCCAGCTACTCAAGAGGCTGAGGCGAGAGGATCACTTAAACCTGGGAGGTTGAGGCTTCAGTGAACTGTGATCATGCCACTGCACTCCAGCCTGGGTGACAGAGCAAGACCCTGTCTCATTTAAAAAAAAAAAAAAGTTTGTGTGTGTGTGTGTGTGTGTATGTATAAAAGAAATAAGGATAGTCTGTAGTCTCAGACAAAAATATCTGCCCTCATGAAGTAAGGAAACAAATAATAAACAAGCAACACTTTGGGAAAGTAAGTAGTATATTTTATAATATTATATATTAGAACCTATTAATATGGTAGAAGGTAATCATGGCTTTTGAAAATATAAAGTGTGAAAGGGGAGAAGAAGTTCAGAGGTGGGGTTGAGTTTTAATTTTAAGAAGGGCAATTAAGGAAGGCCGTTTGAGTTAAGACCTAAAAAAGAAAAGGGAGAGTGTACAACTATCTGGGAGAAATTAATTCCAAGCAGAAAGAACTCCAAGCACAGAGGTCCTGAGGCAGGAGTTACATGGAGCAGTTAGGGAAAGGCCCTGAGCAAGATTGGCTGGAGGTGATGGCTGGACACGACAGAAACAGTAGGAACTGAAGTCAGAGATAGAAGAAGAGGAGGAAAGGTGCAAGACCTTGAGAACCATGGTTTTTTGGCTCAAAACAAAATCATTGGTGAGTAACATTCTTTAAAATATCGTACTCATCTCTAAGCATTAACCTTTTTTTAGAATGAAAGATAATTACACTACTCTTACAGTGCTTAAAATTGCATATTGGGGCTGGGCATGGTGGCTCATGCCTGTAGTCTCAACAGCTTGAGAGGCCGAGGCGGGAGCATTGCTTGAGTCCAGGAGTTTGAGAACAGAATGGGAAACATAGCAAGACCACATCTCTACAAAAAATAAAATAAAATAATTAGCTGGGCATGATGGCATGCACCTGTAGTTCCAGCTATTCAGGCAGCTGAGGTGGGAGGATCACTGCAGGCCAGGAGTTCAAGGCTGCAGTGCCCCAGGACTGTGCCACTGCTCTCCATCCTGGGCAACAGAAGGACACCCTGTCTCAGGAAAAACATAATTACATTTGTGGTTCACTTTGGGCTCACACGTGTAATTTTAAGTTTTCTGATAGCTACATCTTAAAAAATAAAAAAAATAAGAGTAGATACATGTTATTACACCTTCGTCTAAACCCACAGAATGTACAACACCAAGAGTGAATCCTAATGTGAACTATGGACTTTGGTTGATGATGTGTCAATGTAGGCTCATCAATTGTAACAAATGTACCATTCTGGTGCAGGATGCTGACAGTGGGGGGAGGTTTACATATGTGGGGGCAGGGACTGTCTACCTTCTGTACTTTCCACTCAGTTTTGCTGTCAACTTAAAACGGCTCTAAAAAATAAGGTCTACTTTGCCTCAACCTCCTGCCTCAACCTCCTGAGTAGCTGGGACTATAGGCACGCGCCACCACACCTGGCTAATTTTTGTATTTTTAGTAGATACAGGGTTTCACCATGTTGGCCAGGCTAGTCTTGAACTCCTGACCTCATGATCCACCCACCTTGGCCTTCCAAAGTGCTGGGATTACAGGCATGAGCCACCGCGCCCAGCCCCTGTCAAGAGTTTTAATGCTTTCCAGCAGCCACACATCAAATGATTGCCATCAGGATTAGACAACTTGAAGAACTTACCCCAACTGCCAAAGCCTACATGTGATTCTACATCCCAATGTAACTACTTATTTTTTTTTTTCTTTTAATTGAGATGGGGGTCTGACAACGTTGCCTGGGCTGGCCTCAAACTCCTGGGCTGAAGTTATCCTCCCACCTTGGCCTCCCAAAGTGCTGGAATTACAGGCATGAGCAACTGCGCCCAGCCGCAACTGTTAATAATGATAGCATCATGACTCTTTGGCCCAGTGACTGTGTCAATAGTGGTACTATTACTCTCAGAGGGGAATTGTTAAAATAAATTAAAATGAAGACCAGGTCTGCAGAATTCCTGAGCAGATAGTCAATTTAGTCCTCATAAGTGACCTTAAACTTACTTGAGTTAATCTGAGCTATTTCTTGTAAATGCATATATTAAAGAAAAACAGAACAAGCTCAACCAATCAGAAGTAGTCCACAAACTTGTATAACTAGAGGCTTTTTAGTGGGATAGACCAAATAAGGCAACTTTATAACTGTAACCAATCAAATATTTTCTTTTTATTACTTTCCCATTCACTCTGTAAAAATCTGCTTCTTCGACAGAGCTGAGCCCCAGAACCACTTCTGGTTTGCAGCTTCTCAATTCATGAATCACCGCGTGCTGAAGTAAACTTTAAAATTTTATTGTGCCTCAGTTTACCTTGTACACAGAAGCAACAGAGTCATCAGAGGAGATGTTTTAGATATTTTAACTTATTCATGTTTTCCTTTTGTAAACTCGAAAGAGAGGATAAATGTAAGAGCCCAAAAACATAAAAACCAACTTTAATATATGGATTTTGTTTAGAACTTGAAAAATTGTAAAAAGAAATCATGAGACAATAAGAAAAATGTAAATAATGACTGGATATTTAATAATATTAAGGAATTTTAAAAATGTTTTAAGTAATTTAGCCCCAGGTGTCTTCATGAGAATTTAAAACGGTGGTCATGCTTTTTCAAAAAAGGAGGAAAAAGGGTTTAATTCAGGAACACACAGAGAAAAAAAGAGACAATGAATTAGCTTTGCTAGCCAGTGGCTTAAACATTCTCCACGTAGCTGCTGGGCTGATGGGTGGGGTGGGACCCACTTCCAACTTGTCTCTTGGACAAAGTCTATACTTCTCAGCCGGATATTCAAGGCTTTCCACATCTAGGTATACAAGCGTTCTCCTATCCTCTTTTCCTATCAGGAATAGGTGCTTAATAGTAACATCAAGGCCAGGCACAGTGGCTCACGCCTGCAATCCCCGTACTTTGGGAGGAGGAGGCTGGGGGATTGCTTGAGGCGAGGAGTTCGAGACCAGCTTGAGAAATATGGTGAAACCCCTTCTCTGCAAAAAAAATATAAAAATTAGCCAGGCGTGGTCACCTGCGCCCGTGGTCCCAGCTATTCAGGAGGCTGAGGTGGGAGGATCGCTTGAGCCCGGGAGGCGGAGGTTGCAGTGAGCCGAGATCGCGCCACTGCACCCCAGCTTGGGCGACAGAGCGACTCTTGCCTAAATAAATAAATAAATAATTTTTAAAGTACAACAAAGACACATTGAGGCTATAGTGCCAAAGAGCTCTAGTGATGAACCCTTGTCAGGGGGCCGTGTCTGCGGGAGGCCGAAGGATCCCGGGTGACATGCTTTCTTTGGGTGCGAGGCAGCGTCTCGGCAGAAAGAATATTGCGAGTATTACTGAGGGTACATGAAGGAGAGAAGCCCCTTTGGTTCGGCCTTGGACTAAGCCCTTGTTCTCAGGTGAACTTGCAGTGTGATCTTGAGTAAGGTCAGTCTCCTCTCTCACCTCAGTGGCCCGAAACCTCAGGAGGTGGCAGAGGTTTTCTAATGACTCTCCCAGCTCTGACATCCTCTGACTTCACTCTGGGAGAACGTGGGCTGGTGGACTCCTGGCAGAAGCCGACACACAGTTGGGCCATAACAAAGAGCCCTGGTACGGGGCACGTTCCCGCCCCCGGGAGGTTTTGGAAACACTGTGAGGCAGGGGGCGGGGCTTGAGCGGGCCGCAGCCAGTCACCAAAGGGCCGGGCGCTGGGGGCGGGGCCTCGCGCGAGCGGCGGCGGTAGCGGCGGCAGCGGCTGCGGCCAAGCTGGGTCCGAGCATCCCGCGGCTCTGGAGCCGCCCGGCCCGGACATGGCGACCGTCCGGGCCTCTCTGCGAGGTGCGCTGCTCCTTCTGCTGGCCGTGGCGGGGGTCGCGGAGGTGGCAGGGGGCCTGGCTCCGGGCAGTGCGGGTGAGTAACCTCCAGAGCAACGGTTCGAAGCTGTCGGGAGCGGCCGCCACAGCGCTCCAAGATGGCGCGGGGCAGGGGGCGGGGGTGCGCGCGACCCCCAGACCCTGCCCACGTCCGGCGACCCCGGGACCCCAGGTCTCAGCGCTCCAGAGGCTGGTGCCGAGGCGGGGCGAGTGAGGAACTCTCTCCGCCCCAAGATCTTCTGGGCGGTGACTCGGGTTTGAGGCCTTGGTCTGTCACCCACCGACACGGGCCCCCTCTTCGGCACTGACCCCTTCGCTTGCCTCTGCTGCTTGTCAGAAAAGGGTGCGATGCCCCCGCCCAGGATCGTCGCGAGGTTTAGATGGGATTTCGGATACGCAGCCGCCCTACCGCGGCCCTAGTTAGTTATTGTTACTTGTTACTTGACCCGCACTTGGTTCATAACGACCTTGGTGGCGGTGAGCACTGACGGTCCCCACAGCCCGCGTGGTGGGTCCTGGACTCGGGCAGGAGACATTAAAAATCAGTAAACCCTGTCCCCCGGGGGCTGGCAGGCTTGAGGAGAGAAATTCTTGCTCTACAAGAACTAAACCAAGGATGGATAGGAAACTGTTAAGTGCTTATTGATTGCTTCCCGCTTGCTGGCCTTTTGAGTGCACGCCGACTCCTTCCGTCCAAAAGCTCTCTCGGTAGGAGATGGGGTACAGCAGGAGATTGAAGTAACTCGAATTCAAGGCAGAAATGTCCAGAGGAAATGAAGGGCCATGTATGAGTGCACAGAGGGAGAGAGGACATCGACCTAGGATGAGTGGAAAGTGGAGTGATTCCCCCTAGCTGTACTAGACATTGAAAGATGGCTAGGACGTGTGCATGCAAAAGTGGTGAAGTGCATTGCTTACAGGGAGACAGGCAGAGACACCTTAAAAAAAAAAAAAAAAAAAGCAAAGTCAGCCGGGTGCGGTAGGCTCTCCCCTGTAATCCCAGCACTTTGGGAGGTGGAGGCGGGCGGATCCCTTGAGCCCAGGAGTTCGAGGCCATCCTGCTTAACATAGTGAAACCCCGTTTCTACTAAAAATACAAAAATTAGCCGGGCATGGTGGTGTATGCCTGTTGTTCCAGCTACCCGCGAGGCTGAGATACGAGGATTGCTCGAGCCCCGGGAAGTTGAGGCTGCAGTGATATGCCACTGCCCTCGGAAGTGAGACCCTGTCTCAAAAAAAAATCAAAGTCAGTTCCAACAGGGGTATTAACTATAGCTAGGTTTCAAATTTAGCTGTAAACTATCCCAAAGAATAAAAGAGAAAATGCTGTGTATTCTTGGCTAAATCAGATTACTTTCCTGGGCCCCATTTTTCTCCCTGTTAAATTAAAAGAGATTGAACTGAAACACTTACAAAATTATGAAATACTAGTTGTCCATTCTCCTCCCACAACCAGTCAGTTCTGCAGGAGGTAGTACAGTGGAGTGGTTAAGAACATTGAGCAAATTACTTAGCTTTAATCTTTTTGTGCTCAAATAGCCACATTTATTATAAATGGTACCTCACAGATTTTATTATGAGAATCGAGGTAATACATGTCCAGCATTTAGCGTAGTAAGCAGTGAAATATTAGCTATTAAGTATGTTCGGGAAATACTGCAGATGGTACCCTGTCTTATAAATTCACAAAACACATTAGATTCACAATAAAGGGTCCAAGGATTCCTGTGGTAAAACAAACAAACAAACAACAAAAAAAAAAACAAGAAACTTTTTTGCTGGGGGAATGGCAGTGATTGCTAATGAGTATGAAGTTTCTTTTGGGAGTAATGAAAATGTTCTAAAATTAGATAGTGGTGATGGCTACACAACTCTGTGAATATACTAAAAACAACTGAATTGTACATATTAAAAGGGTTAATTTCATGGTATACAAATTGTAGCTCAATAAAGTTGTTAAAGAAAGAAACTTGTTTGCTCATAAAATTCTTTTTTTCTTCATAACACCTAAAGCGCACTTCAGAAAATGCTGGGTTAGTTGATTTCTAAAGGCCCTTCTAAGCTCTAAAAGTTCATGACAACATATAGTTTGCATTGTTTGATAAAAAAAAAAAATTCCAAGTTTGATCTAAAAGTGAGACATGTTCCTTATACTAAATTCTAGGAAGCATGTATTGCCTGGTTCCTTACTAAAGGACATTGAGTAATATAATGGACAAAGGCTTCCACTGTGAATTGTAGAAAGTATAGAAAATGCTTTTCAATCCTAAACAGAATTAAGAACACAATATAAAATTGTATTTCAGTGAAGGCTTTGCTTGTATTCCTGCTCAGTCTTCCTTCCCTTCTTAACCGCATCCAAGATTGGGTACTTCTGTCTGCTCTGGTATAAGGCTTTGCAGGTTATTGACCCCCTCTATTATACAACTTTGCAAATCTTATTACCTTGATTATTCCTATTCCTGGGGGATGGAGGTGTGAAAGTGAAATGACTTGCTCAATGGTTTTCTCTTTGGAGGATGAGAAGGGACCCTATCCTGCAGTATCAGCATCGTGTGTCATGGCACCTGATAATGGCTCCGTTTTTATTTAAGTTGCTTTGTAATAGTACAAAAGAGGGAAGGATATAACCTTAAGGGCCAGGTTTCAGTAAGTTGACATTTAAGGAATTAGGTAATAGTAAACCTAGAATCCAGAAGAAGAAAGTAATGAATTTTAAGTTAGAAAAAGCAAACGCCTATCTGGAGCAAAGTAATAAGAAGCAGATTCTCTTACCAAAGAAGTATCTTGGCCCACACTGTAGAAAGAGCTAGGATTGGTGATAGACCAGATATGACAGTTTATTCTGGTATGCAGCTGAAAGTTTCTGTCTGGCATCCATAAATTTAAGCAATCTTTCATTAATAATACTTTTCACTGTGTGCCACTTGTAGAAGAAAATGGGAAGAGGTCAAGGAGGTTATTTTTATATATTATAAATGTGGTTTTTAAAAGAACAAAAGAGATATTATGAGGTTTGTTTATCCAAAAAATACTATATGAGTACTTATTATACGTCAGGCACTGTTCTAGGTGCAGAGCTGCTGCTCCAAGGAGCTTACATTCTGAGAGGTGATAGACAATAAATAGATAAATATGTAACAAAATGATTTCTAGGTATGATAAGGATGCCATGAAGGAACTAAACCAAATGGCTAACACAGAGAATTGTGTGAGTAGTTCTTTGTGTAAAAGAACTTCAAAAGAGTTTATAAGAGCTGCCTCTTTGAGAAGGTAAAGTTTAGAACTGAGATCCGAAGGCTGAGAAGGTGGTGGGTAGTCTTATGAAAGACAGGGGTGAGGTCCAGGAAGTGCAGAAGCCTTAAGGCATAAGGAACAAAAGGTTATATGGTTGGAATGTAGTGACCAACAGAGTATGCTAGGGCTAGATGGTGCAGAGCATTGCAAAAAACCACATAAGGATTATGGATTTTATTCTGTGCACAGATAGAAACCAATAGAGTTTTAAGTAAGAGTGGTATGATTTTATTTCTATTTTAGATCAGTATTGCTGCTGAATGAAAAAAATTATTGTAGTGGGGTAAGAGTATAAGCAGGATGACTAGAAGGCCATTGCAGTAGTTCAAGCAGGAGATAAGGGTTGACTCAAGAGTAGAGTGGTGTGGAGATAGGAGAGGGGATATTTAAAATATGTTGCTGATGGATTAGATGTGGGAAGTGAGGGAAGAAGGAATTAAGGATTACTCATAGGTTTTTTTTTTAATCATGAGCAATTTAATAAAAGTTGATGCCATTTACTGAAGTAGGGAAGATGGAGGAAGAGCATTTTGGAGGAGGGTTGTAAGGTAAGGAAAGGAGAGAATAAAAAGTTCTATTTTTGTACATGTTTAGGATGAATATTAGTAATAATTGCACTAGGGCCATTGCTTATTAAGCCAAATTCCATACTTGTGAGTAATCCATTTAGCAAATATTTATTAAACTATTAATACTGACAGACACTGTGATAGGCAGAGGTATAAAGTGGTAAGCAAAAATAGGGGCTTAAGTTTAGTGGGAAATTCAGACAGGAAATTCACCCCAAAATGTATAATACCTACATGGCTAATATTATGTGGTTATATTAGTACATACCTATTTATATCCTAAATCTGAAGAATATATTTGAGGAAAAAGCATATGGTTTCATCAGGTATATAGCACATAGTATGATGGATGCTGTAAAGCACATAGGTAACTTGAACAAGACTATAAGTGGAGTATTAAGAGATGTGTTCTGACCATGAGATAATTGGGAGCTATACTTTTAGATCCTTTGTTTAGAGATGGGAGCCCTGCTGCAGTGGGGAAGGGAATTATCTAAAAATACTGACTGTTGAAGAGGACTTCAGAAGAGTCATTTGCTTTAGTTGTTTCATAATGATCAATGTCTAGGTTACAGCTCTTTTGACTCTAAGGAACAAAACCCAAAATAAGTCAGGATTAGGGGGCTGGTTATATAGCATTTAACAGGAAATCACATGGAAAGCCAAGGGTAGGAAATTCAGCACATCTCTACCTCAGGGACTGCTACAGGAACTAGAAAGTTGACAGGAACCAAGACTGACAGGAAATTAGACTTCCCGTGTGTTCTTTTAGAGACAGTCTTTATCTCACATGGCTTCTCTCTGTGCATCTCTTCCAGTTTCCTCTCTCCCTCAATCAGCTTCCTTTTTTTTTTTTTTTTTGCACATAGTTTCCACACCCTCATAAAATGTCAGCTTCCCAGCCTCAGCTCTTCTTGACCTTATAGCTGCAGAGCCCACCACCAACTGGCTGCCTGCCTCTTACCTGAGTATGATTTAGTCCAATTTATCTTTTGATTTAAAAATCATATGATGTTTTCTAAATTATAGGTGAGTTACCATATGAAATATGGTACTGAAATAGTATTAATATAGTGAGAGAAATTTTTTTGTACTTTTTTCCTGTTAAAAAGACATTGTATAACTATAGGATATTACTACTTTTTTTTTTAGTAGGTTTTAGGGGAACAGGTGGTATTTGGTTACATGAATAAGTTCTTTAGTGGTGATTTCTGAGATTTTGGTGCACCCATCACTACAGTGTACCCAATGTGCAGTCTTTTATCCCTCATCCCCCGCTCACTCTTCCCCTGCTGCCACCGAGTCCCCAAAGTCCGTTGTATTGTTCTTATGCCTTTGTGTCCTCATAGCTTAGCTGCCACTTGATAAATGAGAACATACAATGTTTGGTTTTTCATTCCTGGGTTACTTCACTTAGAATAATGGTCTCCAACTTCATACAGGTTGCTGCAAATGCCATTATTTCATTCCTTTTTATGGCTGAGTAGTATTCCATAGTGTGTGTGTGTGTGTGTGTGTGTGTGTGTGTGTGTGTGTGTACACATATACCACATTTTCTTTATCCAATGGGCATTTGGGCTGATTCCATATTTTTGCAATTGCTAATTGTGCTGCTACACACATCTACCACATTTTCTTTATCCACTTGTTGATTGATGGGCATTTGGGCTGCTTCCATATTTTTGCAGTTGCTAATTGTGCTGCTATAAGCATGCGTGTGCAAGTGTCTTTTTCATATGACTTCTTTTCCTCTGGATAAATATCTAGTAGTGGGATTACTGGATCAAATGGTAGATCTACTTTTAGTTCTTTAAGGAATCTCCCTACTGTTTTCCATGGTGGTTATACTCATTTACATTCCTACCAGCAATGTAAAAGTGTTCCCTTTTCACCACATCCACTCCCACATCTGTTATTTTTTTATTTTCTAATTATGGCTATTCTTGCATGAGTAAGGTGGTATTGCATTGTGGTTTTGATTTGCATTTCCCTGGTAATTAGTGATGTTGAGCATTTTTTCATATGTTTGTTGGCCATTTGTATATCTTGTTTTGAGAACTGTCTATTCATGTCCTTAGCCCACTTTTTTTTTTTTTTTTTTTTTTTTTTTTTTGTTGAGACGGAGTCTCGCTCTGTTGCCTAGGCTGGAGTGCATCTCGTGATCTCGGCTCACTGCAAGCTCCGCCTCCCGGGTTCACGCCATTCTCCTGCCTCAGCCTCCCGAGTAGCTGGGACTACAGGCGCCTGCCACCACGCCTGGCTAATTTTTTTTTTTTTTTTTTTTTTTTGCGTTTTTAGTAGAGACGGGGTTTCACCATGTTAACCAGGATGGTCTCAATCTCCTGACCTCCTGATCCACCCGCCTCGGCCTCCCAAAGTGCTGGGATTACAGGCGTGAGCCACCGAGTCCGGCTCCTTAGCCCACTTTTTAATGGACTGTTTGTTTTTCTCTTGCTGATTTGTCTGAGTTCCTTGTAGATTCTGGATATTAGTCCTTTGTCAGATGCATAGTTTGCAAAGATTTTCTCCCACTCTGTGGGTTATCTGTTTACTCTGCTGATTATTTCTTTTGCTGTGCAGAAGCTTTTTAGTTTAATTAAGTCCCATGTATTTATCTTTGATTTTGTTGCTTTTGCTTTAGGGTTCTCGGTCATAAAGTCTTTGCCTAATTCAATGTCTAGGTGGGTTTTTCCGATGTTATCTTCTAGAATTTTTACAGTTTCAGGTCTTAGAATTAAGTCTTGATCAATCTTGAGTTGATTTTTGTATGACGTGAGAGATGAGAATCCAGTTTCATTCTTCTACATACAGTTTGCCAATTATCCCAGCACCATTTGTTGAGTAGGATGCCCTTTCCCCACTTTACGTTTTCATTTGTTTTGTCGAAGATCAGTTGGCTGTAAGTATTTTGCTTTATTTCTGGGTTCTCTATTCTGTTCCTATGTGCCTATTTTTATACAAGTACCATGCTGTTTTGGTGACTATAGCCTTATAGTATAATTTGAAGCTTCCATTTGAATTTTAGGATTGAAATTCAAATTTTAGGAACTAGAATTGTTTTTTCTAGTTCTGTGAAGAATGATGATGGTATTTTGATGGGAATTGCATTGAATTTGTCTATTGCTTTTGGCAGTATGGTCATTTTGACAATATTGATTCTACCCATCCGTGAGCATGGGATATGTTTCCATTTGTTTCTGTTGTCTGTAATTTCCTTCAGCAGTGTTTTGTAGTTTTCCTTGTAGAATTCTTTCACCTCCTTGGTTAGGTATATTCCTAAGTATTTTATTTTATTTTTTTTTTTTGCAGCTATTATAAAAGAGGTTGAGTTCTTGATTTGATTCTTAGAGTGGTCACTGTTGGTGTATAGCAGTGCTACTGATTTTATACCTTGATTTTGTATCCTAAAACTTTATTGAATTCGTTTATCAGATCTGGGAGCTTTTTGGATGAGTCTTTAGGGTTTTCTAGGTATACGATCATATGATCGGCAAACAGCAACAGTTTGACTTCCTCTTTACCAATTTGGATGCCCTTGATTTCTTTCTCTTGTCTATTTGCTCTGGCTAGGACTTCCATTATTCTTTATTAGTCAGTGAATCTAATTTTTGAGCTGAGCACTGTGCTAATTGTACCAAGAAGCTTACAATCAATCTGGGGATACCAAGAGAACCCACATGAAATGATTAGAGAAGAGTTAAGTGTTAAAGTTTCCTACTCTCACTAGAATAGTAGGGTCTTAAATAACAAAAACATCAACATGGCCTAGAGTTGTTGGAGAAGAAAGGCTTACTAAGAATTAAGATGATAGTTAAGCCTTGCAATATGTTTGGAGTCAGCAGGAAGTGGGCATCAAGCATTTCAGGCAGAGGACTGCATTCTAGGTAAGTGTAGATTTTCTTTGCTAAAAGTAATAGAAGTTTAGGGAAGGGAAGGCTAGAGAAAGACTTTGAAATTTTAGAATTGGAATAGCAGGAAGCCATTGTAGGACCTTGATTAGAAGAGGGATGTCATGAAAGGTCTGTTAAAAAAAGTAATCTGGCAGTCATATTGGTACTACAATTGACTTAATATAATTGGCTGCTGCAGCAGTGCAATATGAGGCAAGCAGTGGAGAAGGATGTATGTAACTTGCAAATGATTCGGGAAAAAAACAAAATATGTATCTATCCATACATACATACAGATAGATATGGCAGTATGACAAGATGTTAGCAGTGTTGAATTGAGGTGGTGAGTATGTGGGTAATCCTCTCACTATTTGGCGCTTCCTTGGCTGACTGTATACTTTATGCAGATATACCCACGTGTATATTTTTAAAGGGTTAAATGTGACAATTTCATGAATGTATTTATAAGTTAAAGTTGCAGTTCTCATTTAAATGTTTTTTAAGTGATTGTCATTTTCCAAGTTGTTTTGAAAATTAAAATTTGATTAAAAATAAGATTTTACATTAAAAAACAGATTTTTAAATTAATTTTTTAAATTTGAATGATCTTTTTCCAGTATCAACTCAGATTTAGTTTTTTTCTCCTGAAGTGTGTAATACACACTCAATGCACGTGCACACACACACATCTATGTATGTATATGTGTGTGTATATATATATTTATACACATACACACTGTTTTAGTTGTTCTTTAGGGAGACATTAATTAGAGGGAATCTTTTTTTTTTTTTTTTAGGAAACAAGAATTGCTTTTCATTAACCAACTGAATTATAGCTTTTGTGAGACATCTGTGGCAAAAATCCCTTTTAACTTCAAAAATCCTATAATTCTATGGATATTTCTTAGTTTTGGATTAGGGTGTGTATTTGTTTTTTTAAAGCTAGTTGGCTTTAGAAGCTGCGTTTTTCTGCATGTGGCTGGAGCATGTGCTTCCTGCTTACTTGCCTGTCTTTAGTATACACATGGCCAAAACCAGCAGCTGAAACTCGATGTTTCTAATTATTGGATAATTCTGCTTGCATATTTTCAGGCTACACTAATACCTTCTTAAGCCCAAAAAATGTGGCCTTTAGTAATCAATTTTTAATTTTTATTTTATAATCACAGACTATTGGAATAAGAATGCAAGATACGACACTCATACTGATGTCTTTAATGAAGATAACACCTGTGTTTTTTATTTTCATCATAGCAGTGTCAAATTTTATTTTGAATCATTCCATCTTTATCTGTTCAATTCCATTTTATGAAAATAAGCAGAGTTTTAAACTATTATTCTTGAAGAATATGTTAGGATCAAATTATAAACCCAGAATATGTCTAGAATTCATTATCTTCTCTTATAGAAAGCATTAGGCCTGGGAGAGTTTTGTTTTGTTTTGTTGTATTGTAATAGTTGAATGACCCAATTAATCCCTTTTAGTTGCTCTGAAAAAGATAAAGACCCTTAAATGCCACATTAATTGCATTTGAATTCTTCTCCCATTGATAACGAAGTCATATGAATGGATGTCTATTTGTAGACATTTATTTCTTGAAAAATATGCAACGTTAAAGATTCTAATAAGCTTTAGCTATTTCAAAGGAAGAAAAATGTGTGCAGATACAATAATGGCTAAGGGTAAGAAGAGAGTGTAGAAAATGTGACGGAGCAGAGGTCCCCTGTCCTGTTCGTGGAGAGTGGCAATGCCCTCAAGAGAAGACATATGCTGTTACAGAAGAACATTTGGTTGGGAGGAGGAAAGAAGTTATTACCAGAAGACTTTAGGCTTCCCTCTTTCATCCCATTTTGTCAGAAGTATCAAAAAGTCTTTTGGAAAGACTAGAAGGAATATATGCCAAAATGTCAACAGATGTTGTGGCAGGACAGTGGAAATATAATTTTTCTTTTTCTTCTTGTTTTCCAAATTTTTGAGGTTTTTTAAATGAAAAAAAGAATTATTTTAAAAATTTAACTTTGAGGGATACTCCCCTATAGATTTGACCTTCACCATTTAATTGGAAAAAAAGGCTTTTATAGTTATATTTTTAGTAAGACCTCTGTTAGTGGAGTTTTAATTATAACACATTTTGTGTTTCTGTTTGAAATAGACCTTTGCTCCAAGAAATTGTTTTTCAAAAATCCCTAGGTCCAAATCAGACTCCTGTCTGCCTGATTGTTTACTTTTTGCTGAGCCTTTTTCTGTTTATTGGGACCATATGTTATCTTGAATTACCTTTGCTTACGACCAGCAGGATTTTCTGCCCTCACATGAACTTTGTGTTAGAGGCTAGTAGTAGAAAGTGCCAACTTCTAGAGCTCTTCAAAAGAGCACATCAGTGTCACTCAGGAGAGCCTTTTTTCCTGACTATCCTCCCAGTCTAATGAGGGTAGGGACATAGCAGAGTCTTAGGAGATGGATGTAGTTTCGTGTGGCATTGCAGAGGAGTTGTTATAAGAAAGCGTCGGCCAGGTGTGGTGGCTCATACCTGTAATCCCAGCACTTTGGGAGGCCAGGGTGGGCGGATCACTTGAGGCCAGGAGTTCAAGACCAGCCTAGACAATATGGCAAAACCCCATCTCTACTAAAAATACAATTAGCCGGGCATGGTGGTGCATGCCTGTAATCCCAGCTATTAATACTTGGGAGGCTGAAGCACAAGAATCACTTGAAGGTGGAGGTTGTAGTGAGCCAAGACTGCACCACTCCACTCCAGCCTGGGTGACAGCGCAAGACTCTCAAAAAAAACAAAAACCCTTATGAGTGCTTCGGTCCTCCCTTGTGTTAGCCCTTCATAGAAAGTAACTACAGCCTTACTACAATCAAGGCACCTTTTTTTTCTTCTGAAATGTAGTGAAATTTTTATGTGTCCTTCAGAATTTTGTAAACCAAATGTTTAGAACTTCAAGACATGTTTTGACATAGAAATAGTATTAGAAAGCCAGTCTCAAAAAAAAAAAAAAAAAGGCTAGCTAACCCCACAAGTCTTTTATGAAACTGATCTATAGTAATATGGCAGTAACATCCTAGACCCTGTCGTTGTTTTATGGAAAAGTGATTTCCAGTTTAAAACTTAGAAACTTGGTTGGTAAGATCTGAAGAGGACTTCTTTTATTCATTTGTTTACTCATTCATTTCTCCTCAATACCAATCCTACTTTTCAATAAAAAAAGTTCTACTTTTATCTAATATGTATACTGAAGTTGTACAGATTTCATTTGAAGAGAGGATTATGTTGCATACACACGCACAGACACACAGGTTGAATATATATATATATATATATATATATATATATATGTAAAAACAGGTGTTTTAAACCATTGTACCAGATCTACCTGCCTGAAATGTAGTATTTTTCCCTCCTGTGTCTTTTGACTTGCCAATTCTAGACAGCTGCTGACAATGCCAACTCTATCCTCTTTTCAGTCTTCTGCGCTCTACAACAGTTACATGCCTCTGATGATTATCGCTATAGCCAATTTATGAATTCCTCTGGAGCCATAATGCTGCTTGGCAACCTTTTTCCTTTTCTCTAATTTGACATTTCTTTCTCTAAGTTGATGAAGCAGTGTTGTTTTGAACACAGGTTTGAGAAACATATTTATAGTTGTTTCCTTTCTCTATTTTCCAAAGTGGCTGTTTCAGGCCTCTATAATTTCAACTCAAGCCCCCAACCCTATCTCAGCCCTATCTATTTTCAGATCTAATCACTATTTCACTGAGAAAATGAGGTGCTGTCAATTTCCCTGTTAATTTATCGGTGTCCTTGAATTCTTTACTCTTGTCTAGATTTTGTCCTACTACCAGGTGGTAACCTGGGTGAAGTTAGAGAGCATAACTTTTGTTCACTATTGTATCCCTATTCCTAAACACAGTGCCTCTTTTAAAACCCACATGCCCTTCCAGGAACCACCTCATTTCTCTATATTCTGTTTTACTTCCAACTGGATATAATGTAATTCAGTTCTGCCACCCAGAATCAGCATCTACCCCGCAAGTTAAAGGGCATGGTCCCCAACAAGATTGCCCTTAATCCAGACACTAGCTTTAGTTCAAGGGTCCCCAGGCCACCCACACTTTTGACCAACTGGCTATAAATCCACGGTTCCCATGACCCCCTCAGGTTCAATAATTTGCTAGACCAACTCACAGAACTCTGGGAAGCACTATACTTTAAATAATGGTTTTAATATAAGGGGTACAATTCAGGAGGACCAGTCAAATAAAGAGCCTCATAGGGTGAGATCTAGGAGGGAATGCAGAGCTTCTATGTCCTCTTATGGAATCAGGTGCATCATCTTCCCAGTACATCAATGTGTTCAACCAGGAAAGCTCCACTGAGCTTCTATGTCCAGAGTATTGATTGGGGTTTCATTACATAGGCATACTTGATTGAATTATTGGTCATATGGTTGAGATCAATCTGCAATCCCCCTTCAATCCCTGGAAGTTGGGAGATCAGGTTGATACCATGTGGCTAAAAGCCCCAGCTCTTTAAACACATGGCTGTTCTTTCTGGTGTTGCCAGCCTCCATCCTGAAACTATCTAGGTCAGGGGTGTCTAATCTTTTGGCTTCCCTGGGCCACACTGGAAGAATTGTCTTATGCCACATGTAAAATACACTAACACTAATGCAAAAAAAAAAAAATCTCGTAATGTTTTAAGAAAGTTTACCAACTTGTGTTGAACCACATTCAAAGCTGGGCCTGGGCCACATGCAGCCCATGGGCCACCGTTTGGGCAAGCTTGATAGGTGAGACCATGGGTCACCTTGTTAGCATAACAAAGACACTCCTATTACTCGGGAAATTCCGGTGATTTAGAGTCTCCCTCCCAGGAACCAGGGAGAAAGGCCAGTCAAATTATTTATTATACAGTGTTCTACAACTGCTCAAAAGTAGACTTCCTCAAAAGAATTGTCTGTATTTTCTTGAATTGTCTCTTGAACTCACTGCAGTCAGGCTTTTGCCCTTTATTTCACATTGATAACATTTATTTAAGGTCATCATCAATATCTTCCACATTGCCAAGTACTGTGATCAGTTTGAAATCCTTATTACTTGATAGCAGTATCTAACATGGTTAACATCTTCTTGAAACATTTTATTTGGCTTTTTGGACACCATTCTTTCTCTTAATTATCTTCCCATACATTGACCGTTCTCACCTGTCTCTGAAGGAGGGAATGCATTGCTCAGTTCTCAGATCTTGTCCTTCCCCAGATGCCATCATGGCTTTAAATATCATCTACATAGTGTGTCTCCCAAATTCCCATCTCCAGTTTGGAGTCTTCCCGAACTCATATATTCAACTCCCTACTCAGTATATTATTTTAGATATATAATAGGCATCTCAAAATTATATCTAAAACTGAATTTCTGATCATCTCTCTCTCTCTGAGATCTCCTCCCTTAGTCTTTTCCATTTCAGTTAATGGTATTTCTAGATATTTCTGTTTTCCCACTTTCTTGGACCAAAAACCTTACAGTCATTCTTAATTCTTTTTCTTCCATATTTCACTTCCAATCCATTAGCATATCCTGTCAGCTTTATATTCATAATATATCCAGATTCGGACTACTTAATACCATCTCCACTGCTGCCACCCTAGTTGAAGACACTACAGTCTCTTATCAAGACTACTTCAATAGCCTATTAGTGTTTCCTCCCTTACTCCTGTGTATTATATTTTTAACACAGGAACCAGAGTGGTCTTTTTAAAATGTTATTCTGATTATGACATGCTGCTCAAAACCCGTGGGTGGTTTTCCATCCTTCTCAGAGTAAAAGCCAAAGTTCTTACCATGGCCTATAGAGACCTGTATGATCTGGTCCCCCTCTCTGATCGCATTATGTCCTACTCTACCCTTCAGTCATTCTTTTCTAGCCACACTCTTTGCTCTTCTTTGAACACACCAGAAACTTTGCACTTGCTGTTTCTGCCTTTTGGAAAATTCATTGTGGCTCGTTCCCTTACTTTATGGTATCTGCTTGAGTGACACCTTTTCAGTGAAGCCTTCCTAGCCTGCCCTATAAAATACCCACTCACTTCCACACACACATCCTCCTTACTCTTTAACTTGTTTTATTATTGCCATAACATTTACCACCATTTCACATTCGTATTCTCTCTCTCTGTCTCCATATATATATATGTATGTGTATATATACATATATAGTTTAATATCTGCTCTTTAAGTTTCAAGAGAACAGACTTATGTTTTTTTGAATGAATGATCAGTGCCTAGTACTTAAGCTGCTCATAAAATTTTTTTAAGTTGATAAATATCTTGGAAGAAGAAGTATTCCCTGTTTCTTTCCAGGGATAGTGCCTTCTCATAAACACTTGGTTTTATCCCCTTTGGAGTCCTCTTGAGACTTGTTCTGTCAGAGGAACATTAGCTCTCTACTGCTCTTTTCTGTCTGTAAAGAAGGTCAAGTCTTTTCCACTCTGAAAAAGGGAGAAAAAATCTTGGAACCTTGCATCTTTGTATAATTACTACTTTGTTTCCTTCCCATCGTTGCTAGACTTCTTATGACTCTATTTTTGATGTCTGTACTTACTCACCTGTGGTTTACTCCTTAATATCATTCACTTCTACCAGTTCCACAGAAAGAACCTGTGAAGCTCACCAAGTGGCTAATTAGTAAACCCATTTCCTTTTTTCATTCTTCAGTCTAACTTGACTCTTGTGGTGCATGACACTACTCCTCCTGTGATGCCACTCTCACGGTTAACCTGCCTTTCTGACTATTCCATCTCAGTCTCTTTCCTTTCTTTCCATATCTCAGATGTTACTCTTCTTTAGAATCTGATGCTATGTTCTCTTCTCACTAGAAACTCTCCCTAGACAATATCATTCATTTCCATATACTCCTTTATGCTGATGAGTTCCAAATTTGGATCTTTAGGCTTGGCTTTACCTGCACTCCAGGCCTGAATTTCTGAGTTTACTGGAATTTCCATCAGGATATTCTATAGGAACCTCAGATTCACATGCTCAAAACAAAATTCACTATCTTTTTATCAGTTGACTTTTTATTATTGGTTTAAAAATAGCTCTAGTCCATATGGTAATTGTAAGGATTAGATAAGAAAATGCATACAACAAACTTAGTCAAATTCTGGGACATAGAAAGCACACACTAAATAGTAGCTATTATTATTACATGACAGTCTCCCCTATTAGACTGCAAGCTTCTTGAGGACAGGGACCATGTCCTCAAACCTAACACTGTCCTTGACTTGTAATAGGTGCTCAGTAAAGGTTTGTTGAGTTAAAATTAATAATAATAATAATCATCATCTACTGAATAAATGGTTTGTGTAACCATCTGAATTAGCTTAGTCATCTTGTTTAACAGTGGAACAACATTTGATGTTTATTTTTTCTCCCTAGGTGCATTGTGTTGTAATCATTCAAAGGATAACCAAATGTGCCGTGATGTATGTGAACAGGTAAGATTACATAATAATTACAGAGGCAGCCAGACACAGTGGTTCATGCCTGTAATCCCAGCACTTTGGGAGGCCAGGGTGGGAGGATTGCTTAAGGCCAGGGGTTCAGGACCAGCCAGGACAACATAGCAAGACCCCTGTCTCTAAAAAATAAAAATAAAATTATAGAGGCTACTAGTTATACAACTATTTATTAAGTATAATTGTTTTTGGAGAAGTCTGTTGGATAGTACCTTAACTAATTGTCCAGGGTTCACATCACCAATAATGGGGCAAAGTGACTGTCTGCTGACATGATACACTGAGAAGGAAAATATTATAATTGCATAATTTGAATTATGAAGAAGTAGTCGGGCAAACCCAGTTTGAGGAATATTCCTCAAAACATCAGCGCCTGTACTCTTTAAAAATGTCAGTGTTATAAAAACAAAGAAAGGCTAAGAAACTGTTACAGATTAAAGGAAACTAAAGAGATGTGACAACAAAATGCAATTTGTGATCCTGGATTGGATCCTGGAATGAAAGAAAATTGCTATAAAGGACATTATCAGGATAAATTGGTAAAATTTGAATATAGACTGGATATTAAATAGTAGTATTATACCAATACTGTGATCCTGAATTTGGTGATTATATTGTGGTTGGGTGTGATGGTGTCCTTGTTCTTAGGAGATACATACTAGGATTTAGGAATGAATGAACATAATGTCTATAACAAATGCTAACATAGTCCTTCAAAATAATAGTATGTAATAATAGTTTGTGTATATATACAGAGAATTAAAGCAAATGTTGCAAAGTGTTTAGGATGGGTGCATCTTGATGAAGACCATGTAGGTATTCACTGTGCTATTCTTAAAAGTTGTCTGTAGGTTTGAATTTTTCTGGTTGAACCTGTTTATGAAAGTTCCACTGAAGCACTACCCATTCATAAAGCCCTACCTTTCTTTCAGGCTTGGTCATGTATGTCTAGCCTTAGCACTCGAGAAACAATAGTCTCAATCATCTTTTAGAGGAGTCTTCAAGTAATAACCTGGATCTTGTTATTTTTAAAACTGAGAGAACTACTTAACTGGGACTATAACTTCTCATAAGCAATAATAATGTAGACGTAGAAAGATTTTGCAAGATACGGTCTGATTATAAGACATGACACTGATTCAGCTCATCTAAATGGCTACCGGAGAATTCAGTGACATGTCAAATCACTATTGCAAATTAAGTTTGCTGCACATTTACTGCCAGAAGAATAGCTTTTTAAAGCAAAAATGGCCCCTTGATGATATCATAAGGAAGCTTTTAAAGTAGTTCTGCTACTTTGGGAAACATGACTTACCTGACTTTTCACTTTGTTTCTTGCTTTTTCTACTGATGTTCTATAGGGTGAATGATTTTTAGGAGGTATCTTGTAATGAGGCACCAGCAGCAGGCAAGGTCTAATTTCTTAAAATCTGGAATGCTAGAAATTATATAACTTAGCAAATTAATTGAATACTATAGTCACCCTAATAAAGAACATTCTTCCCCAACCAAGTTCTTAACTAATTGAGAAATAAGGCAGATAGGTCCAAAAATATTACTCCTATTACTGGTTACACAGATGTCGAATGTGACTTTTATCTCTAGGCACACACTAAGTGACAGAATTAGACTTACTCCCAGAGGAGGAGAGGTAAGGGCTGTGTTACATATGTTTACTTTCCCCTACTAAACTCAATGGTCGGCTAAGTCGCCATCCTGATCATGGGAGAAGTGTATCAGGGGTGTGGAGAGAGACCAGGGCTGTTAAAACTCGTAGAGCTCACTTCAAAGAGAAGGAAATGCTGTGAGTGAGGAATCATTATTTCTTCAACCAGTAGGGAATGCAGACAGGATGGAGTCTTGATGACATTTAGATTTTGAACTGAGTAAACAGCATTCTTGATGACTCTAGGAGGTTAGGGAAAAGATATGGTTTGAGGAGAAGGTGAGCTGTTGAATTATCAGTGAAAACCACTATGTGAAGATAGGGATTTGGAATTAAAACTTTTGGAATTAGAATTTAGATAAGAAGTCAGGGCTGGTAGCTTATCATATTCAGCAAAATATGTGTGATGGTTTACAGTGAAACTGTCAGCAGTGTCAGATGCCAAAGAAAAGTCAAGGAGTTTGAGATCTGAGAAAAGGCCCTTAGTTTAAAAAAAAAAAAAAAAAAAGCCAATTAGTGGAGATTTTAAAAACATCTCCCTGCAGCAGGGATTTTTGTTTGCTTTGTTTATGATGAATTCCGTGGTGCCTAGAACAGTTAAAACAGTATCTAACACTCAAAACTCTCAATAAATATTTGTAGATCAACTGGAGCAAGGGAGCTAAAAGTCACACTGCAGGCATTAAAAATTTTTTAATAAAAATATTTACAGTTATGTAATTTTTTGGACTTACAAAAATGTATTCAGTTTTTGTATATGTCTTACCTGTATATATTATGAATTCCTTGAATATAGGGATTGTGTCTCATTTGCCTATGTTGTATTCATGTCCCTGCTCATGCAAACTAATTAGTTAATATTTTTGAGTTGATTGGTGAAGAAATGGGTACAATGAAAGGAAAAAGCTGGAAAAGTTAGTAAGTGCAGGAAGTAAAGATTAGTTTCAAGATGGAAGGTTTTTACTTGTTTAAAGACAAAGGAAAAATGAGTTATAACAGAGGAAGGAGATAAGTATGGGTAAAAAACTTCTCAGAATTCAAGACTGTAAACCCTATGGTCTGATAATTTCTGCCTTGAGTGGCATACAAGTTTGGTTATTAAATTTTTTGCTCTGAGATGATTTGTATAATTATAGTATATATTCTAGTATGTATTCTGAATAAGCATTCATCTTTCTTTTTAAGTGTGATTACTAGTTGTTTAGCAAGAAAAGTGACTTTATATTCAAGTCTACCTTATTATCTGAAAGTTTACATAGTACCTGCTGGTTTATTTAAGCTAAATGTATTTCTAATAAGTATGTGTTTATCAGTTTAATTCATTCTACTTTATGGGATCATAATTTTAGAGACAGAAGGGACCCAATAGATTATCTAACTTTTTAATTTTGCTTATTAGCTATTCAGGAAACCAGAAACTGGGACCTAAATTTTATTTTACACTTTTCCCTAAGTGCCATGCCCTTTACTATACCCCTTTACATGCATTATTTCATTTAATTCTTACACCCAGCCCTTGAAAAAGGTATTGTCATTATTTGTATATTATAGGTAAAGAAATTGAAATATAGAAGACTTAAATAACTTACCAAGGTCCCAAGCCAATTAGTTGAGGAACAGGGACTCAAACTCAAATGTGTCTGATTACGAAGTCCATACCCTTAGCCACCAGGATATAACTACCTCCTATGAGGCCAAGTAGTTTGCCCAGTGGTATTCAGAGTGTATTTCCAACTCTCAGTTCTATATTCTTTCCATTGTTCTAACCTGTTTCAAGTACTTGTAGGTTTTTTGCCTTTTTTGTTTGTTTTTGTTGTTGTTGAGGGGAGATGGAATTGCAGGAAGAAGAAATGAGTGAGAGAGCATAGCCTTCCCTGTGCTTTTTCCTAGTCTGCTACCAATGTCATATCTTTCGTTTTTTCTTCCTCTTTCTCTTTTCCATTCTTTCTTATCTTTCATTATTGTCTTTTTCAATCGATTTTTCTTTTCTTTCACTCTTCCTTTTGTCTTTTTATAATAGAAAATTTTAAGTATATACAAAGGTAGAGAGAAAAGTGTAATAAACCCCCATATTCAGCTTCAATATTATTAAGTCATGACCAGTTGTGTTTCATTTAAATCTCCTTTTACTTTCCCCACTATACTGAGGCAAATTTATGTAGCAGCAAAATCTCAATTGTCATATTATTTGATCCATAGCTTCAGTTTGGAGCTACAAATGATATGTCATTTAAAAAAAAAATAACCACAATACTGTTATTACTTCTTTGAAAATGTAATATTCAAAAATCTAGTTATTCAGATTTCTTAATTATTTAAAAGGTTTTTTTAGTTTGGATCAGAATTCAAGTGATATATATGTATTGCAGTTGGTTATATGTTTTTTAAATATCTTTTGATCTGTAGGTTTCTCCTTGCAATTTATTTGATGAATTAATTTGATCATTTGTCCTATAGAGTTTCCCATAGTCCAAACTTTGCTATTCACATCCCCCTGGTGTCGTTTAACATTTTCCTTTTTCCTCTGTGTTTCTTAGTAATTGGCAGTTAGATTTAGAGCAGAGCTATCCAATGACACTTTCTACAATGATGAAAATATTCTAGACCTATATGGTAGCCACTAGCCACATGTGCCAGGTGAACACTTGAAATGTGCTTAAAGAGACTGAGGAACTTTAATTTTTAATTTTATTTAATTTTACTTGATTTAAGTTTAAATACCCACACATGGCTAACAGCTACCTTAGCCAGATCCAGAGACTTAGTTTTGTTTAAGTCTTCCCCCAAAAATGTCTCTTTTTGTGATGTTAACAGTCATTGTGATAATTGTCTAAATGCATTAATTCACTAGGCGTTGCAAAATAGTGATATTCTATCTCTTTTCACTTCTTAATTGTAGTTGGTAGTTTTGGAGGAAAATGGCTAATAAATAAGCTAACTGGAGATAAATCCTTTTTCACTGTCCATAGCATTCATGGATTTTACCGTCTCAGCTATTTGCAGGTAATCATGAAGGTCTGTCTGATATGTGTAATGATTTATTATTTACTGAAACACCAAATTGTAATTGCATAACGTCCTATTTGGAAGTGAGCCATTTGGCTTGGTGAGTGAACCTTTGTCAGCTCATCAGCATCAATTAAAAAAAAAAAAAAAAGCTTTGTTTCTATCTTACAGCATTTTATGGAGAATTTATGTGCCATAATGCTGTTTATGAATTTGATCTTCACCAGTATCACGGGTTTGATGACAGTCTATTTTTCATTGTTACCAGTTGACTAAAAGTAATTAAGAACAGTTTAGAATAAACTTATCTTTTTTTTCTTCCTTCTCTCGCTCTCTAACCCCCAGCCTCTAAACAGGTTGGTAGCCTGGGTTTCTCCACTTTTTTTGGTCAATAGAAAAGGGTCTAGACTTGCTGTATTTGGACTTTTCTTGCTTATTTGCGAAACTAATCAATGCTTTTTAAGAAATGTTACCTCAGCTTAACTTAGATCATTCTGAAGGTTTTCCACTTATAAAAGGAGCCAGGCACGGAGGCTCATGCGTGTGGTCCCAGCACTTTGGGAGGCTGAGGCGGGCGGATCGCTTTGAGCTTAGGAGTTCAAGACCAGCCATGGCAACATGGTGAAACCCTGTCTCTACAAAAAAATACAGAAATTAGCCTGGCATTTGTGGCTCATGCCCAAGGTCCCAGCTACTTGGGATGCTGAGGCTGGAGAATTGCTTCAGCCTGGGAAGTGGAGGTTACAGTGAGCTGAGATCACACCACTACACCCCAGCCTGGGTGATAGAATGGGACTCTGTCTTAAAAAAATAAATAAAATAAAAGAACATGAACAGACACTTCTCAAAAGAAGACATTTATGCAGCCAAAAAACACATGAAAAAATGCTCACCATCACTGGCCATCAGAGAAATGCAAATCAAAACCACAATGAGATACCATTTCACACCAGTTAGAATGGCAATCATTAAAAAGTCAGGAAACAACAGGTGCTGGAGAGGATGTGGAGAAATAGGAACACTTTTACACTGTTGGTGGGACTGTAAACTAGTTCAACCATTGTGGAAGTCAGTGTGGCGATTCCTCAGGGATCTAGAACTAGAAATACCATTTGACCCAGCCATCCCATTACTGGGTATATACCCAAAGGACTATAAATCATGCTGCTATAAAGATACATGCACACTATGTTTTTTGCGGCATTATTCACAATAGCAAAGACTTGGAACCAACCCAGATGTCCAACAATGACAGACTGGATTAAGAAAATGTGGCACATATACACCATGGAATACTATGCAGCCATAAAAAATGATGAGTTCATGTCCTTTGTAGGGACATGGATGAAATTGGAAATCATCATTCTCAGTAAACTATCGCAAGAACAAAAAACCAAACACCGCATATTCTCACTCATAGGTGGGAATTGAACAATGAGAACACATGGACACAGGAAGGGGAACATCACACTCTGGGGACTGTTGTGGGGTGGGGGGAGGGGGGAGGGATAGCACTGGGAGATATACCTAATGCTAGATGACGAGTTAGTGGGTGCAGCGCACCAGCATGGCACATGTATACATATGTAACTAACCTGCACATTGTGCACATGTACCCTAAAACTTAAAGTATAATAATAATTAATAAATAAATAAATAAATAAATAAAAATTTAAAAATAAATAAATAAAATAAAAAGGAAGTTGGAAAATATTCTAGACAACTGATAAATCTAGAGGATAATAAGTTTTACCTCTTCTTATTTCTTATAGAAAAATGCCACAAAAACTTTTTTTTTTTTGTCAAATAGATTTTCTCCTCAAAAAGTGAATCCCGACTAAAACATCTGTTGCAGCGAGCCCCAGATTATTGCCCAGAGACAATGGTAAGTCTTATTGTAACTTAACTGTAGAAGCTTCTGTCTAAATGAAACTATCCAATGAATTACTTTCAGAGTTAGCAAATTTTTAAATGTGATTGGAATTTGTGGTCAAAATAAAATGTTAAGTTTAACTTAAATACTTAAAAAAAATCTTCATATAAATTGCTAGATAGAATATTGTTTTTCTTCTTTTATTATCCTATGATATAAATCTAAAAACAATCTTAAATATAAATGTGTTCCTATCTTTAAATTTCATTATAGTATTTTATCTGGGGTCGGGCGTGGTGGCTGATGCCTGTAATCCCAGCACTTTGGGAGTCTGAGGCGGGTGGATTACCTGAGGTCAGGATTTCGAGACCAGCCTGGCCAGCATAGTGAAACCCGTCTCTACTAAAAATACAAAAATTAGCCAGACATGGTGGCACACGCCTGTAGTCCCAGCTACTCCAGAGGCTGAGGCAGGAGAATTGCTTGAACCCAGGAGGCGGAGGTTGCAGTGAGCTGAGATAGCATCACTGCACTCCAGTCTGGGCAGCAGAGTAAGACTCCGTCTCAAAAAAAAAAAAAAAATTATCTGGAACTTAGAATTTTATTTATTATTATAGTTTGACTAATTTTATGAAAACTATAATAACTAAATCTGTTTATTTTGATTTTGGAAAATTGAATTTGGGATAAGGGAAAATATATGACTTATTATCTTCCAATTTTCTGACATACTGTAGATATATTGCTTACCTATCTGAATCATGTAACTTTAAGACCTTTTAAAGGTCTCTAATACTTGGGCTGTCCTCAGTGTTTGGGATGCTCATGTGCCAGACCAAGAAAGTGTGAGTTTGTTTGCAAGAGCCTCTTTAGATATGGTGGCTTATATTATGTGAAGGGGAAAATAAGTTGATGATTAAATAGTTCTGACTGACACATTCCCTTTAGTCTTCAGTTTTGTCTATAGGCTTGGAAACAGTGATTCCAGTAAGTATCCTGAGTAACTAGACTCATCGTTAATGCTCTCAGATGGGAAAAGAACAAGGAATATTTCTGTATCTCAGCTTTGTTCCCCCCGAATAGCTGATTGATGTGCCTGTAGTTCTAGAACATTGACTGTGTAGACATAGCCATAATCAAATTAGCTGTTCATAATTTCTGTAGAAATTAATTGTCATATTTAGGAACTGGTTATCTACATAAAAGCCTTTTGTTGGGTACACTTTTAGGTTGAAATTTGGAATTGTATGAATTCATCTTTGCCAGGTAAGCAATAAAAGTGTAACATTTAGCACTTAATTTTAAAAACTTACTGTGTGAATGTAAAATTGGTGTCATTGTCCTGGAACCTAATTTATACTCTGGAGTTTCTATCCTCTCCTTCCCTTCAACACCTAAATTTTTTTTTTCTAAGACACAGTCTTACTGTGTTGCCCAGGCTGGTCTTGAACTCCTGGCCTCAAGTGATCATCCTGCCTTGGCCTCCCAAAATGCTGAGATTACAGGCATGACCCACCATGTCCAGCCCAAATTTTCAAATACATAATTTATTCTCATTCACTCAGTCCTTAACTTTGTTCTCTTGTCTCCACTTCTGCCATTCTACTGAAACTAGTCTTTGAAAGATTACCAGGATCTCTTGGTTCCTAGATCTTCGGGCTCTTTCTCAGTACTACTCTCTTTGACTTTCTTGAAACACTTGATATTATTGATTACTACCTCCTTATGACTCCACCTTGGCCTCAGAACCTATTCTGCCTTGCCTTTTTTTTTTGCAGATGGAGCCGTAAGGACTATGGTTATTTCTGTGTGTGGTCTTCTTCCCTTCTGTCTTCACATTCACCTTAGTAATCTCATTCCTTCCCAGAACTGTTAACTAATCAGCTCTGAGAAGGTGACTCTCAAATCTAAATCATTGTTTGTAACTTCTAGATATCTTTGTAGACATCTCTACCTGGATCTCTGCATCCAGGTGCCATCTGAAGCACAAATCCAAAATCAAACTCATAACTGCACCTCTTGTGAATGATACTAGACTGGAAACCCCCAAGTTATATTTTACTCCTTGTTCTTTCTAGTTCCATTGACTCTCCCCTTGCAAAATTACACCTGTCCTGTCTATTTCTAGTTCAAGTCTTTATTCTTACACTCGTGGGATAGAATATTATAATAACCTTATAACTGATGTTTCAACACATTATATCTTTCTTTCCTATCCTCTTCAAAAATAATTTATCAGGGGATATTCACTCCCATCAGAATAAAACCCAAACTCTCTAGCCTGACACTCATGATCTCCCAGGATTACAGCCTATTTGCCAGCCCTGGATAGAGCTAATTTCTTAAAAAAAAAAGAGTATACCTTATGTATCTCTGAATTCTAGAGGCTATCGCACTGTTTAAAGTTTGTATTTCAAACTGGTTGCCTTTCTGAAATTGCCCACCTCCTTGCCTGTCTCCTAGTTATGCTTGTACCCAGCATCCTTAGTATCCTGTAATTTTCTACACACACACACACACACACACACACACACACACACACACACACAGTTGCTAACAAACTGTAATCTCCCAAATAGGATAAATCATATATTTTATTTATTCCATAATTTCATAGCCCACATAACACCTAACAGAGTGCCTTGTACATAGTAGGACCTTAGTAAATATAAATGCTTTTTGGATAATTTAGTATGTTCTAAGAGGCCACTGGATACCTGGAAACAGCAGCATACTTCATTATGATATAACAAGTCACAGAGTTTATGACCTATGTTGATTCCATTTAAAATTCTTTCCAACATGTGAGGAACCTGAATAGCAAGCAGCAAAGATTTAGAAGAAACTATACTAGGCAATGAGGCTAGATGTGAATTTGTTACCCTTTGTACCCTTAAGACACATAGTGATAAGCTTATAATATGCAGTATTTTTGGTCAATTTTTATAATTGGGGTAGTTTATTATATTTTGAGAGCTTTGTCTATCTGTGAACCATTTATTTGCCTTGTTTTACTTTTTAGCAGAATGCTTCTATTTGTTGTGTGAAGTCCTAGTTTCATTTGGGGAACTATGTTACTTACTGCCTTGAATCCCTGACATTTTTTTTCAAATATAAATAATAATCCAACTTACTTCAGATATAGATACTCAAATTTATGTTTTACATAGAAGCAGCATAAGGCAATTTTAAAGGAGATAAGGAGGAATTTGCAGCATTCCTGCAAGCATAAGGCTTTTCTCTTTTCATAATTATTTCTTGCATCTCCTACTTTTTTTTTTTTTTTTTTGAGATGGAGTTTCACTCTTCTTGCCCAGGCTGGAGTGCAATGGCACAATCTCAGCTCACTGCAACCTCTGCTTCCCAGTTTCAAGCAATTCTCCTGCCTCAGCCTTCCAAGTAGCTGGGATTACAGGCATGCACCACCACACCTGGCTAATTTTGTATTTTTAGTGGAGACGAGGTTTCACTATGTTGGTCAGCCTGATCTTGAACTCCTGACTTCAAGTGATCCACCCACCTCGGCCTCACAAAGTGCTGGGATTACAGGTGTAAGCCACCACACCCAGTCTTTTGTTGTTGTTGTTGTTTTGGTTTTTTGTTTTTTTGAGACAGAGTCTTGCTGTTGCCCAGGCTGGAGTGCAGTGGTGCAGTCTCGGCCCACTGCAGCCTCCACCTCCTGGGTTCAAGCAGTTCTCCCACCTCACCCTCCCGAGTAGTTTGGACTACAGGTGTGTGCCACCATGCCCAGCTAATTTTTGAATTTTTAGTAGAGATGGGGGTTCACCATGTTGGCCAGACTGGTCTTGATCTCATGACCTCAAGTGATCTGCCCGCTTTGGCCTCCCAAAGTGCTGGGATTACAGGTGGGAGCCACTGAGCCTGGCCCTATCTCCTACTTTTGCCTTAGGATTCATTCACTGACATTTATGATTGCAAAAGGAGTTTAAAAGCAAATTGGAAGCCCGGGCGTGGTCGCTTACACCTGTAATCCCAGCAGTTTGGGAGGTCAAGGCAAGCACATTACCTGAGGTCAGGAGTTCAAGACCAGCCTGGTCAACATGGTGAAATCCCATCTCTACTAAAAATACAAAAATTAGCCGGGCATGGTGGCAGACGCCTGTAGTCCCAGCTACTCAGGAGGCTGAGGCAGGAGAATTGCTTGGACCTGGGAGGCGGAGGTTGCAGTGAGCCAAGATCGCGCCACTGCACTCCAGCCTGGGCAACAGAGCAAGACTCCATCTCAAAAAAAAAATTAGAACACTTTTTATAATTTTATCATCTTTCAGTTTCACAATCATTTGGTTGGAAGAGTCACTGCTGAACATCAATTGAACCAGAATAATACATGGTCATTTTGCCCCATGATTAAATGTGCCCATCAAAGCCAGATATACCTGACTCACAAAAATTGCCCCTATTTACTAAGTATCAGTTTTTAAACAGGATCATGAATTTTATGCTATTCTAGGTATTTACTGTTTTGAATACAGTAATACTTGTGCCCTTTCTTGTTAGTCTGCTTATGTTAAATTAAAATCTTTGCCTCTGATTAACAGTCTAACAGTAAGAAAGCTCTCTTCCTTGCTTTCCTTCCCTTGTACGTCCTCTGGTAAAGATGTTACCTACCCAAGAGTGAGAATGACTTAAAGAGCATTTAGGGTGGGAGGGAAAAGAGAAAAAACAAAAGACCTGATAATTATGCTGTGAGGGACTTTGAAAGAGACTGATAGCAGTGGAAGTAAGGGTAAAGGGAGGTCCTTAATAATTTTGAGGCCCTGCTGTCTGAACCAGTTTTCTTATGGACAGCTGCTTTGACTTTTAGTAGTAGCCTTGAAACATCTGGCATGCTATCTCTTTTTATTGCTACTTATGACCAAAACATTTAAACATTTTGTTTTTAAGGTGTGTTTAAGAAGTCTGATGGCTGGGTTGGCTTAGGCTGCTGTGAACTGGCTATTGCCTTGGAGTGTCGACAGGCATGCAAGCAGGTAACACTGGGTAGTCAGGCTCTCAAACATCATGGAGTGCAGTTTGGTTTTAGCTGTGCACATGTCTTGGGCCTTGCCCACCTCCTAGCTTTGCAGAGGTAACCCGTAAAAACTGCAAATTTAGCATTTTTTGTATAGACCATTTCCTTTTAGACTTGCTGTTTTTTTATTTATGGCTGCTGCATATGGCCTCAGCCTGCTTTTATTCTTTCTTATCATTCCTTGTCTCTGCCATGCAAAAAAGAATATTATAGGAATTTAGGTCATCCATACTTTGCCTGCAATCATGCTGAATCAATGCTGATGATGGCTGGGTAAATGTAGGCTATGCTTGGATGAGAACATTTGACACAGTTGGCTCATTTTTTCATCTCCTTTTCTCTGTTTCATCATGGCTTTACCCTGAGTGTGTTCTTATATCCCTTCTCTGCTCCTAAGATGAATCTGACTCATACACTGAGTTATTACTTATCTTTGATTTGATATAGTTCTGCCCCAATTCAGCTTAGGTGCCTGAGTTTGTCCTCACTTTGTATGTTTTAGTAGTGGTTTCTCAGAGAGGAAAAACTAGCCTCTTGGTTCCTCTACTGCAAGTGGCAGAAATAGACTTAACTGGGAAACTAGAAGTGGTTAGATGGACCTGAAACCACAGTTGGAAAGCCTTCTCTTATTTTCTTCTTCTAGGGACTTATCTCAGATAAGAGTATATGAGATATGGTATCACCTTCACTTTCACAGAGACGACTATCCTATAGCCTGAGCAACAGTCTGGGCAGCACATGACCTAGCTGTCTGCTGCTGTCCTCCAGGCATTGAGGTGAAGCTGAGTTGCAGAGGATTTGAAGTATAATGAATTTAGTGAGTTGTAAAACAGTTGCTGGCCCATTCTTCTTCTTGTTCTCCCTGTCCTCATCAGCTGGCCTGTTCTAAATTGCACTGGCCTAGGTGATAGAACAGGAAGAATGGAGCAAGGAACCAGAGCTCACAGCTCTGGAATGGAAACTGACTCATGTGGAAAAACAGCCACCCCTCAGCAGATTTTTTTTGGCTTCTTTTATATAGAAAGTATATACTTAAATATGGCAAATAGCTTGCTACTTCTCTAAGCACCAGTTTCCTCATCTGTAGAGGGGTTAGTATCTTCTTTATAAACTTGTTAAGAGACTTACACAAAAATAACTTGTTAAATGCCTGGCATAGTACCTCTTCCCTATTTAGTTGCCCCCTCCGTTATATACTCAGCAAGTTCAGAATGAAAGTTTAGAATGTGAAGAGTTAAAGAAAAAGCAAAATGTAAATGCCCTGGCAGAGCTTCACAAGAAAATTTGCTACAGAGTGGAATTCAGCTAAAAAAAAAAAAAAAAAAAAAAAAAAATCCTCTGATTTACAATTTCCTTCAAAGACATCTAGTTTCTGAAATAACAAAAGGACTGTGTTGTTATGTGAAATTAAAGCCATAAAAGTTAGAGCAAAGCTCTAGAATATTGAGTAGCCCTACAGATTATGTTTGTTTTAAAGAAATTGCATGAAATTTGTTTGTTGTATTTTAGGAAATTTAAAATATTTGAACATAAGGTTTTCCTTGATGAAATAAAGGATACTATATCAGTAATTAACAAATGCTAATTTATGTTCTTTTTGCCCTGTGCTGAATAGCATGTATAATAAATTAATGGAGAAATTTGTTGGTTTTTAGGCATCTTCAAAGAATGATATTTCCAAAGTTTGCAGAAAAGAATATGAGGTATGCATTTTATTTAACAAATGTGGATAGCCTATTCAGATGTTATCAGAATTAACAAAATTACTTAAATTTTTAAAATGAATTTATTTTTATACAACTTCCCTTTTACCTTACAGAAAATTTTGCATTGACAAAAATGTCATTTACTGTGTTCGGAAATGTTATGATTTTAGTTGATTTTTGTTGAAATGAAGTATTAATTTTAAAGAAATGCCTAAATCTCACATACAAAGGATTTAACCTATAATATTTTTATAACAAAGCAACTAGTTGTACCCAAGGTTGTGAAATAGTTTTTCTCGTGTTTCATGTTCTCTTTTGTCTCATCTCCTATCTCTTGACCCATCCAGGTGGTATTCATTTCTATAAACTACCTCTAATCATAAAGAAAAGTAATAAAAGAAAGAAAATCACAGGGCTAGTGTGAATAGCTCAGACTTTCCTAGAATCTTGCATTTGGGGGAAAAAATACTAAGTTACAAAAGCTATATTAAATCTGAAGGACTCTCATCTCAATAGTGGGATTTCTAACACTGGTATCTAGATGGGGTAGATATTAAGGCAGGGGTATAGCGGAAGTATTTTACACCATACAAATATGTGCAGAAGATTGTGCCTGATATGAAAAAACCTCCTCATTGGGGCTACTTTGTTCATTTTCTAGAACTCTGTTCTTAAATGTGACAATATTACAGTTTTTGTAGTGTAAGGCTATGTAATTAAGGATACTTAAGTGCATATATCTCATGCACCATTTTTATATACAAACATTGGGATTCCTATTGCTGTGTTTTCTTGGAGAAGGTAGAATAACTCTCTTAACTACTTCTAGGTTATAGTTTTTATTTTTTTTCTTTTCTCAAAGCCTGTATCTCTTATTTTTAAACTTGACAGTCTTATTTATCTTTTGTTCCTTTGTACTGTTTGCTAAGTTGTATCTATTCCTCTGAAGACAAATTTCCAAATTATAGCTCTCCTCCGTTCTTATTGAAAGGAGCCCTGCTACAGAGAAGTAAAAGATCTTTATTTTCTTATCTCTCTATCTTTGAAATAACCAGTTTTAGTTTCTCTTGAACAAAGTGGCTAACTGTGATAATTCCTTCTTTTCTCCTACATGATGTCTGACACTGTCCATCTTCCATAGCCTGTCCTCCGTTATTTTAGTGTGCTTCCTTCTCTTGTCTGGATTTCTGCATTGCCCTAGGAAGTCTGCCAGTATGTGTTGATGAAGGACAAGACAGGAAAGGTAAGAGAGACAAACTGTCCTATGATAGAAATACTAAGAATAGTTTACTTTTCCCAGTCTATCTTCCCTAATTTGGCCTAGAATTAAGCAACCATTTTCCAAAAATCTGTATGGCAAAAGGATCCTTTTGTTTTTATATTAAAAGTTGATCCCACAAATTCTTCAATATAAGACTCAATTTGATTTCTTACATGTTATTTAGAAACGAAAATAGAGATAAGAGTACTTTAATGCAGGAAGGGTTCTGCATTATAAACCTCACATAACAGTCACTGTCATGATTGTTGAAGTCTAGTCTAGACATAAAAGCTATTTGTTATAAAGTGAATTGGGTAAATTTGGTGTAATATAGCCTATTTTAAGTGGACTGGTTGTTTATCAACATCAGAATAATTTATGAACCAGGCTTTTAGTATCTTTTCCTTAATACTGGAATGATCCCTGGGATGAACTTGTAGATGTATGAGCCATTTCTATAGGCTTGCAATTTTAAGGGTAGCATTTACCCTGGAGAGTAGTTTTATGTATAGTTTGATTTGAGTTTCAGAGAATGAGTAATTACATTTGGAGGAGCTAATGTTTTTCTTTTTTGGTAAGCTGTTGTAGAGTTCCTTTTGAAGGGATTTGCTAAGAAATTTACTTAAAGTTTTAAAATTTTAATGCCATTTAAGATTTTGTCTTGTTCTAGCCAACCTAAGATAAACCAGTTTAATATAAAGCATTGTTACATCAGATTTTATAGAGTCTGGTTTTTTTCTTATGCAAATTAACAAGTACCTGTTGAATACTTAGAGTTTTATATATTAGAAACAGCATTAACTGGAAGCAGACTTAGTTTAGAATTCTGATTAAGCAACTTTTAGCATAACTCCAAATACTAAAGAATTATATTTAATTGAGTCAGGCTAATTAAAATATATACTGCACACATAAGGGCTCAGGGAAATAAGAAAGCAGAGCAAGAATGTTTGGAGTTATCAGGAAAAACGTTGCAAATGAGAGAGGCCTGAAAGGATTGGTATAATTTGGGTAAAGACCTAAAGACCTAAGACTGTGGATCAAAGGTATGTTATCAAAAATGCACATGGCTTATGCAGGAGGAAAAGAGAAGACAGACCTATTTTGGGCTGCAAGTCTATGCTCAGATAGGTAAAGTGGGACCAAATCCTAAAAAGATAGCATTTTGAGGCTCAACTCATTATTAATGAGAGGGTGATGATGAAGATTCTGTAAAAGGAGACCAATATATAACAAATAACAAAACCAATATTTTAGAAACTTAAATTCATAATCCTGTGCAGGCTAAGTTTTAGATCCCACAAACCCCTCTAGCTTAGCTAAAAAGAGGTAATAGCTTAGCTAATAAATCCCAGACTAGGATAATAGTAATAGAGTCAAATATTCAAGAATAAATCAGAGATTCAAAGGCAGAATCCATCAGCAAGATTCGTTATGATGGATTGAATATAGATGGTATTCAGGGAGATAATCTAATCTTTTAAGCCTAGTTTCCTGGCATTCATTTACTATTCTTCTATACTTAAAGGTACTAGTTAAAACTTCTCTTTCTGGCAATAGGGCAGGCTTGCTACCTGGACCAGTCCTCCAGGTGAAAATAACTTAAAATGCTAGATGAATTTGCTGGAAAGAAAATACGGAATGCTCAAGCCAAAAACTAAATGAAGGCAGGAATCCAGAGAAGTAAGAACAGTAAAGAAGGCATTAGCTTTGAGGGCATTTGCTGAATCAATTTTTATAGCTTTGTAGCTTCACGAGGCTCAGAAGTCAGGAGACAAATCCTGGGTTCTGATTGAAGGTGGAAAATCTAAGTGAAATCCCCTTCCCTTCCCACCAATAAATTTGGGATTCCAAAGGGACTATACACTTAGTATTAGGGTGACCAGGAAATATGCTCATCTCCCTTTCCAGGGGGATCTGCAAGGAAAACTGCTTCTCTCCAACATTAGTCTTATTCCATTGAAAATTCATAACCCTAAGCTGGTCTTCCCATGAGTTTGCAGCCCAAATTTGTATCAAGTGAGTGTTTGTAAAACCTCAAGCTGAGAATTTATTTCAAGTGGTTCTGAAATGGTAGTGGCCCTCAGATGCTTGAGAAAAGGTAACACAGATCCTCTCTGGAGGAATTGATCTTGTATTTCAGACCTCTTGGGATTTCCACGGATAAAGTCCTAAGGAAAAATAAGCAGTTCATAATAAAAAAAAGTCACAGAACTCACCAGAAAACATGATTTGTTAAATAAAAGCCAACAGGAACAATGGTGAATAGAATCAGACCTAAAGATACTTCAGATATAGAAATGATCAGATGCAGACTAAAATGTTTAATATGTTTAAGAAATAAAATAGGCTTACAAATATGAAGAGCAGGCCGGGTGCGGTGGCTCACACCTGTAATCCCAGCACTTCGGGAGGCTGAGGCGGGTGGATCACCTGACGTCAGGAGTTTGAGACCAGCTTGGCTAACATGATGAAACCCTGTCTCTACTAAAAATACAAAAATTAGCTGGGTGTGGTGGTGCACACCTGTAAATCCCAGCTACTCGGGAGGCTGAAGTAGGAGAATCACTTGAACCTGGAGGTGGAGGTTGCAAAAAAAAAAAAAAAAAAAGAAGAGCAAGCATACTTTAAAAAGAATCAAAGAGAATTTCCAGAACAGTATAATTGAAATACAAACACAATGGATGGGTGTTATAATAGTTTAGGTACAGCAAAGAAAGTAAATTGGAAGATAGAACTAAAGAAATTATATGGAAAAGAAACACAGAGGGGCATGGGGCTGAAAAATAGTTTAGGACACAGGAAGGATAGAGTGAGAAAATCCTCTCTAACTGGAGTACTAGAAGAAAAATAAATAGGATGGGCAGGAGCAGTGTTTAAAGAAGCCCTACAAATACCCAGCAGGATCAAAGGGAAAAAAATCCACATATTATAGACAGACATCATAGCCAAAGATCTTAAAAGTAGTCAGAAAAAAAGGCATTGCCTTCAAAGAAGACCAACGACTGATTTCCCAGTAGCAACAGAGGAAGCCAGAAGACAGTAGAATGATTCCTAAATGGTTCCGAAAGAAAGTAACTATCAATCTAGCATTCTATATCCAGCAAAAAGGTATTTCAAGAAAGGCAAAATTAAGCTAGTTCTAAACAGCTAAAACAAAATTGCATTAGTGGAGCCTTTCTAGAAGTTCTCTGTAAAGGAAGTTCTAAAATATCTACTTCAGACAGAAAATTATTTGAGATGCAAAAGAGAATGTGAAAATAGAAAGTGGGTAAATTAGGACACAGATTTTTAAAACAATAGTAATGTATTACTGGATTTTAAAAAAATAATTAAAACATAGTAACAGTAGCATTTATGTTGGGAAAGGAATTTGAAGAAATTGAAGCATATGATGTGTTAGGGTCTTTACACTAAAAGACCCATATCTCAGAGGTGATTAGGAATCCAGACTAAAGATGAGGAGAATTATCATGCCCACAGTCAACCTTGAAGTAACCCTTGAACCTTGGAGTGAATGAAAGCTCCATAGAAGAGAAAGTGTAAAAAGAATAGAGAGCTGGGTTTTGAAAGAGAATAGAATCTTTTAGAATCTAATAGAATCTAAAATAATCCATTCTTTTGAAAAAAAAAAAATAGAGAGTAGAGAGCTGAGTTTCTTTAGGGAACTAGAAAAGAAGGAGCCAGATACTGATCTGAAATTGATCAAAATGGAATG